>NC_000008.11:15920708-16223738 GCF_000001405.40 Homo sapiens
TGGCTTTTAAACTAAGAATGCTCACGGAAAACAGCTCAGTAGGAAAGAGGAAGACAAACCATTTGTAAACTATATGGAACTTACATTTTTAAGCTATTTAAATAAGAGGAAAACATGAGTGATGAGAATATACTGGTTTTAAAATTCTACATATATCATTAGTGATTATACTAAATGAATCCACAGATGCAGAACATTAAAAATATTATGTCTGTGAGTATACAGTGGCAACTCAGTTGACATGATAATTCAAGAAAGAGGAGACAACACTGGACGGGTTTGCTAAATAGGTCTAATTCCTCAAACTCCAGTATCTTGATTTTATTCTCCGTCATATTAACAACTAGAAATATTCCCATTTACAAAGAATGAAATGTGTATTAGTTAGGGTTCTCCAGAGAAGGAGAACCAAATGGATATCTACAAAAAAGAGAGAGATATATATATCGAAAGAAGTAGAGCTGCATCAAAGAGGATTTATCAGGGGAATTGGCTCAATTGATTATGGAGGCTGAGAAGTCTCACAGTATGGCATCTGCAAGCTGGAGAACCAGGGAAGCTGGTGCTGCTTAGTCCTAGTCTGAAGTCCTGTGAATCAGGGAAGCTGATGGTGTGACTCAGTCCAAGGCCTAAGAGCTGAAAATCTAGATGTTTGCTGGTCCAAGTCCCAGAGTCCAAAGCTGGAGAATTTGGAGTTCTGATGTCCAAGGGTAGGAGGAAAAAGGTGTCCAAGGAAGAGGGAAAGGGAGAGGGAGAAAATGAGAATAAATGAATCTGTCTTCCTTCCTTCCTTCCCTCTCTCTGCCTTTTTATTCTATTTAGGCCTCCAGCTGATTCTATGCTGCCTGTTCACATAGAGTTTACACAGAGTGAGGGTGGAGCTTCCTTACTCAATACTGATTCAATACCAATCTCCCTCATAGACATACCCCAAAATAATGCATTACTAGCTATTTGTGTATCCCTTAGTCAGTCAAGGTGACACCTAAAATTAGCCATCACAGAATGTAATCCAATGATTACAGCATATCTGAAGAGCAAGGTCAACACCAAACCCTCATTACTGGAAGTTGAGCATGAGATGTCAAATCTATTTTCATATTAGAATAGAAATATGTATAAATCTATTTAACTAGCCTTGATTTTATATTATATTGTTTCTGTGAGGGACACACCTCTTTTTTAAGTTTTTTATTATTATTTTTTTTATTATACTTTAAGTTCTAGGGTACATATACCCAACGTCCAGGTTTGTTTACATAGGTATACGTGTGTCATGTTGGTTTGCTGCATCCATCAACTTGTCATTTACATTAGTAATTTCTCCTAATGCTATCCCATCCCCAGCCACCCAACCCCCCGACAAGCCCCAGTGTGTAATGTTCCCCGCCCTGTGTCCAAGTGTTCTCATTGTTCAATTCCTACCTATGAGGGAGAACATGCAGAGTGTGGTTTCCCGTCCTTGTGATAGTTTGCTGAGAATGATGGTTTCCAGCTTCATCCATGTCCCTGCGAAGGACATGAACTTATTCTTTTTTATGGCTGCATAGTATTCCTTGCAGTATATGTGTCACATTTTCTTAATCCAGTCTAACATAGATGGATATTTGGGTTGGTTCCAAGTCTTTGCTATTGTGAGTAGTGCCACATGAAACATACGTGTGCATGTGTCTTTATAGTAGCATGATTTATAATCCTTCGGGTATATACCCAGTAATGGGATTGCTGGGTCAAATAGTATTTCTAGTTCTAGATCCTTGAAGAATCACCACACTGTCTTCCACAGTGGTTGAACTAATTTACACTCCCACCAACAGTGTTAAAGTGTTTCTATTTCTCCACATCCTCTCCGGCATCTGTTGTTTCCTGACTTTTTAATGATTGCCATTCTAACTGGTGTGAGATGGTATCTCATTGTGGTTTTGATTTGCATTTCTCTGATGACCGGTGAGGATGAGCATTTTTTCATGTGTCTGTTGGCTGCATAAATGTCTTCCTCTGAGAAGTGTCTGTTCCTATCCTTTGCCCATTTTTTGATGAGGTTGTTTTTTCTTGTAAATTTGTTTAAGTTCTTTGCAGATTCTGGATATTAACCTTTTGTCAGATGGGTAGATTGCAACAATTTTCTCCCATTCTATAGGTTGCCTGTTCACTCTGATGGTAGTTTCTTTTGCCATGGAGAAGCTCTTTAGTTTAGTTAATTCCCATTTGTCTATTTTGGCTTTTGTTACCATGGCTTTTCACCTTTTTTACTGGAACTACTCTTAGCGGCCCAACTGGGACCTCAAGGAAATTAAGGGTGATGGGCTGTCCTGGCTTGCAAAACTGTAGGTGATTTTCTTCTTGACATAATGCCTAATTGGCAGCCCTGGGAAAAGGGCACGTATCTCTATTCTTTAGTTCAGAAGTATATCATATTATCAAGGAAAAGGAAAAAGAAAACTTTATGCATTGTAACATTTTATAATCACCTCTTAGAATTTGGCTCCTTCTGTCACGTAAATCTGATTTCTAAAACTGATAAAGACTACACATAAAATGGATGTAGACACATTTCACTTGTGAATATTGATCCAAAAGTCCTAAATAAATTTTTAGCAAACAAAATTCAACAGTACCTAAAAATATAAACCACCATGCACACGCAGTAGGTCATGCATGGGAAGCTGAGGCAGAAGGATTGTTCGAGACCAGGATTTTGAGACCAGCCTGGGCCATATAGTGAGACCTATCTCTCCAAAAAAAAAAAAAAAAAAAAAAAAAAAAAAACAAACAAACAAAAAAAACACATTAGCTATGTACGATAACACACACCTGTAGTCCTAGCTACTTGGGAGGCTCAGGACCTGAAGCCTGCCGTGCCTGAGTCCACCCGCCGTGGGCTCTCATGCAGCCTGAGCCTCCTGAACGGGCGCTGCCCCCTGCTCTGTGGCGCCCGGTCCCATTGACCGCACAAGGACTGAGGAGTGCAGGCGCGCCCTCGCGCCACGTGGGACTGGCGGGCAGCTCCACCCAAGGCCCCAGGGACGGATCCACTAGGCGAAGCCAGCTGGGCTCCTGAGTCAGGTTGGTACTTGGAGAACTTTTATGTCTGGCTGGAGGATTGTATATGCGCCAATCAGCACTCTGTGCCTTGCTCAAGGTTGGTAAACGCACCAATCATTGCTCTGTGTCTAGCTAATCTAGTGGGGACTTGGAGAACTTTTACCTCTAGTTAGAGGATTGTAAATGCACCAATCAGCACTCTGTGTCTAGCTAAAGGCTTGTAAACACACCAATCAGTGCTCTGTGTCTAGCTAATCTGGTGGGGACTTGGAGAACTTTTATGTCTAGCTGGAGGACTGTAAATGCACCTATCAGCACTCTTTGGGTAGCTCAAGGTTTCTAAACACACTAATCAGTACCCTGTGTCTAGCTCAAGTTATGTAAATGCACCAATTAGTGCTCTGTGTCTAGCTAATATAGTGGGGACTTTGAGAACTTTCGTGTCTAGCTGAGGAATTGTAAATGCACCAATCAGCACTCTGTGTCTAGCTCAAGGTTGGTAAATGCACCAATCAGCACCCTGTCAAAACGGAGCAATCAGCTCTCTGTAAAAGGTACCAATCAGCAGGATGTGGGTGGGGTCAGATAAGGGAGTAAAAGCAGGCTGCCCCAGCCAGCCTTGGCAACCAGCTTGGATCCCCTTCCATGCTGTGGAAGCTTTGTTCTTTTGCTCTTTGCAATAAATCTTGCTGCTGCTCACTCTTTGGGTGTGCACTGCCTTTCTGAGCTTTAACACTCACTGCAAAAGTCTGCAGCTTCACTCCTGAGGCCAGCGAGACCACGAACCCACCCGGAGGAATGAACATCTCCAGACAGGAGGAACGAACAACTCCAGATGTACCGTTTTAAGAGCTGTAACACTCACTGCAAAGGTCTGCAGCTTCACTCCTGAAGCCAGCGAGAACACGAACCCACCAGAAGGAAGAAACTCCAAACATGTCCGAACATCAGAAGGAACAAACTCCGGACACACCATCTTTAAGAACTGTAACACTCACCGCGAGGGTCCTTGGCTTCATTCTTGAAATCATTGAGACCAAGAACCCACCAATTCTGGACACGTTATGATTTCTATTTTAACGCTAATGCTGGGCAGTTGTGTCTGAACTCCCAAAGGAATGGGGTATAAGGAGTCATCTGTTTGACCTCCTTTCTTTTCCCATCATGGCTGGGAATTCAGTTTCTTTTTTTTTTTTTTTTTTGAAAAGGCGTCTTGCTCTGTCCCCCAGGCTGGAGTGCAGTGGCGTGATCTTGGCTCACTGCAAGCTCCGCCTCCTGAGTTCACGCCATTCTCCTGTCTCAGCCTCCCGAGTAGCGGGACTACAGGCGTCCGCCGCCATGCGTGGCTAATTTTTTGTATTTTTAGTAGAGACGGGGTTTCACCGTGTTTGCCAGGATGGTCTCGATCTCCTGACCTCATGATCCGCCCCTCTCGGCCTCCCAAAGTGCTGGGATTACAGGCATGAGCCACCGCGCCCGGCCCGGAAATTCAGTTTTCCAGGTTTGTTTGGGTCCACTTGTCACAGAGAGGGTTTGTTCAGTTGGTTGATGGGGGTTAAGGATTTTAGTTTTAGTTTACAGGTAGTTGAAAATAGATATTTTTCCCCTTTTTCATTTAAATTCTTGTTTCACAGATATATTATAAAGTGGATAACTTAGGGCAAGGGCCAGCATTATGACCTACAGTGTTTTTGTGTAAGGCTTCAGAACTAAAGAATAGCTTTCATAGTTTTTAATGGTTGAAAGAAAAAATGCAAAGAATAATATTTAGTGACGTGAAAATTACATGAAATTCAAATTTCAGTTCATAAAGTTTTTTTTAAATTGCAGCCTCATTCATTCATTTACCTATTGTATATGGCTGTTTTCACACAACAACAGAATTGAGTAGTTGTGACAAAGACAGTGTCACACACATAGTCTGCAAAGCCTAAAATATTTACTATATTGCTCTTAAGGAGAAAGTTTGCCTAGCCTTCGTCTAGGGACACATTTGTTTCACAGGGACAGTCAGACTTGAATACTGGAAAGAAAATGGACAGAAGTTAGTTATTGTGCAGTTGTCACTTTATTTAAAGTCATCCTACCTTAAGATGAAAGTGCTTTAGCTTTCTTTGAATATAGGTATATCATGTGTGTATAAGCGTGAGGTCCTCTGAACGGGCTACACCATGGTCGAGCCATTGTGACCCCTGTGGCCCATACGTACAGGCCTCCTGGAGTCACAAAGCCTGGAGCAACAGGAAAACCACTAAAGAAGGAGAAACAGCTAGTTCCTGCCTTAACTGATTAGCCGACCTTCCAACATTCCACCATTGTGATATGTTCCTGCCCTACCCAAAGTAATCCATTGACCTTGTGATACTGTGCCTTGTGACCTCCCCCCACCTTGTGACTATGCACCTTGTGACATTATTCCCCTGCTGGAAAAAACGGCCCCTAACTGTAACTTTCCATTGTTTACCCCTTACCTATGAAACTAACTCCAATCCCACCACCCTCCGCTGACTCTCTTTTCGGACTCAGCCCGCTCGTACCTGAGTGAATAAACAGCCTTGTTGCTCACACTTAGCCTGTTCAGGGTGTCTCTTCAATTCGATGCGTGCAGAACAGTAAGTACATGATGTCATATGACAGACAAATTCCATACTCCATAACGGATTTCCACAGTAGATGCTGATTTTTTTTTTTTTTTCTTCCTGATCGGGCTATGGGAATCATGACATTCAGGTTTTTCACCTTTCCAGGCTTCCTTGTAGCTAGGGCTGGCAATATGACCTAATTTTGGCCAGTGAAACATAGGTTGGGGAATGTAAGTTTTAAGACCTGGAAAACTTTTGCTTTCCTGATAAATAGGTTTAAAAGTTTCCAAGTTACTCCAGTTTTCTAAAGTTTCCCAATTACTCCACTTTTCTAAGTGTACTCACTGGTTCTTCCAGCTTTGAATGCAGAAGCGATAGCTAAAGCTGTAGCCGCCATGCCATGGCCATGAGCCAAAGTCAAGGGAATAAGAGACGTCAACCATGACATCTTTGAACTGCTGAGCAAGAAGGACCCTCAGAAAAAGAGTACTAGAATTAGCTCCAGTAAGTATAGGTCCCATATCATCTGAGACTGCACAAACTTCCTGAAAACAACAAGGTTTATCCACTCTCTTCCTGAAACGACTAAGCATTAATTCAATGGCATCAATCTCCTGGCATCATACAAGTATATTTATTCACATATAGACTAATACTGAAAGTGAAAAGCTAGACGTAGACTAGCCTTAGAGGTATTGTCTACAATCTTTTCTCATGCCTTCTTTCTCCTTATGCCTTCTGAGGCTTTAAGTACCTTTGTCTAAGCCCTACTCTTTGATTGTTTTATTTTTTCATTCACTTTAAGCGCTACGTTTTGAATCTATTTCCTTTTCTCCTTGTGCCAATGCTAATTCTTTCTTTTCTGCTTAATTAATATGTAGCAACTTTTTATTAACAGCAACCAATATACTGTTGGCAAATTGCGCATTGTAGTGTCAGAATGATGCAGGCAACATTCTTTTACACTAACTCCAAATCTCTGCCAATCTATCCTTTTGGTAATTTTCATCCCATGTTATAAGCAATAGTTTCAAGGTCTTTCTCTCCCCTAGGAAAAGAGGTTCACAATGAAGTGCTTGTTCCTTAGGGATGTAAAACAACATTTAAGGAAAAGTCTTACTTTTGGAAATAATACAACAAACCTGTGGCACATGGATTATTTTAGTACCTGAGTATTTCCTGATTAATATTTTAACCTATTTCCAATTTCTCAGAGGACTTTCGGCATGTAGAGATAGCTATTAGCCCAATTTAATATTTTCTCTACTTCCCGAAAGCCCGTCAAGAAAGTAAAGAAACAATAAATTTTATATTAAAAAGCTGCCAAATTTACAACTACAGAGTTCATATCCAGAAAGTTCTATGAGATCATGACAAGAGGCTCATGAAATCTTCACATAAAACCTGGGTTCTTAATCATTCACAGCAGTCCAAAGGCAGGTGGATTGCTGACTATTATTTCTGATTATAGTACCTAATGGAACCACCATATTATGCACCTAATATTATTTCCTAGCTATTTTTGTTATGGTCCCAGAGTTGTTCAAACAAAACACTAACAGACAACACAAAACATTGCAGCCATTTCGGTTTCAGTGAAAATGCACTCATTTTTGAATGGCATAAAATATGCTATACATATGTGCTATAGGAAACCAATTGTATTATTTGCATAACCATTCAAGAAATTAAACATGCAACCATCTAGCTTTAAGGGCACAAAATAATTTAATGCGCCAGTGATACAATTAACAATATCCGGTAGGAAAATTTCAAAATTGGGAAGAATTAAATTCCCCAATACAAACATGCCATTTCTTTAAAAAAAATTGTATTTTTTTGACAAACAATAAGCCAAATGAAATGAGCTAGTTCACAGTATTTGAGAAACTTCCCTACTTGCCTCTTTAAAACTTTAGTTGTTGTAATCTGGGTTTTGGTGGACTTATAACCTGCCTTAATTTTTAAATATACCTGAGGGGGAAAAAAAAATCTCCCAGAGACAAATTCCCACAAAATCAAGCCAATTCCCATAAATGGGTGAACTCCCACTGAGACAGTACGGCGTTGTTTCTTTTAGTCTTATGCAAGGACAGATAAAGTAACAATAAACAAGCATCTTTGAAACCAAGTATTCTAAAGAAAGGTCTTCTCTGCTGTTGATTTTGGGCAGGCAGCAGGGACCTGTATCAATGCAGCTCTCCTGCAGACCCTCACCTATAAAGTGCAGGAGGTTTTTCCCAATTTAGAAAAGAAAAACATCAAGTAAACAAAAAAAGATTTAACCACAGTAAATTACTCCCTTAGAAAGAAAAAATGTATATATATTTTTTAATGTATAAAGCAAGCTGACAAGTACTTTGTGTTACTCGGGGTAATTTGGTTGTCTGTGAGAGGATATGCAACTTGAGCAAGTTAAGCAAACTGAGAATTTAGTGGGTTATATTGGTAACCAGAAACCAAGCCACAGAAAAAGCAGGGAGACATCTGGAGATAGGAAGCCCTGTATCCAAGGACTCGAACAACTGAAGGGCTTTCTCCATGTTTCCTACACCTGCTGGTTCTGCAGCTTCATTATGTCAGTTTGGCTTCTTTACGTCTTCATAAGTACATGGTCTTGAAATCAATGAGGTTATTCTTAGCACATAAGAAGGGAGGTCAGAAGTTTGAGACCAGCCTGGGCAATATGGTGAAACGCTGTCTCTACTAAAAATACAAAATTAGCTGGATGTGGTGGTGTGCGCCTGTAGTCCCAGCTACTTGGGAGGCTAAGGCAGGAGAATTGCTTGAACCCCAGAGACGGAGGTTGCGGTGAGCTGATATCATACCATTGTACTACAGCCTGGGTGACAAGAGTGACACTCTGTCTCAATAAATAAATAAATAAATGAAAGAAGGCAAGGCAAGGATGAGGACTGTCTTTCCCTGGGATGCGTCTCTCTTTGAACCATTTCCCATAGCCAAATAGATGGAGTAATAGGATGGGAGTCACTTGTATCTGATCCTTGTGACCACTATGGTAAAATACTGCCATTGGCAACCTCCATCAGAGCACTGTCAGAATAAGAATGCAGGAGTTGGCTGGGTGCGGTGACTCACGCCTGTAATCCCAGCACTTTGGGAGGCTGAGGCGGGTGGATCACGAGGTCAGGAGAATGAGATTTTCCTGGCTAACATGGCAAAACCCCGTCTCTGCTAAAAACACAAAAAATTAGCCAGTCGTGGTGGCATGCACCTGTAGTCCTAGCTACTCGGGAGGCTGAGGCAGGAGAATCGCTTGAACCCAGGTGGCTCGCTTGCAGTGAGCCAAGATCACGCCACTGCACTCCAGCCTGGGTGACAGAGCGAGACTCCATCTCAGAAAAGAAAAAAAAAAAAATTGCAGGAGTCACCTAAAAGAAATTGAAGTTCAATATGTATCAAACTATTTATACACATATATTAACATCCATTAAAATTTATACAATTTGTGCTTTTTGTAATAGAGCCATATTTGTTCAAAGCAATGTTTTCTTGTGTGTGTGTATGTTTTTTTTCTTTTTTTGGAGATGGAGCCTCTCTCTGTCACCCAGACTGGAGTGCAGTGGTAAAATCTTGGCTCATTGCAATCTCCACCTCCTGGGTTCAAGCGATTCTCCTTCCTCAGCCTTCGAGTAGCTGGGATTACAGACACACACAGCTACATCTGGCTAATTTTTTGTATTTTAGTAGAGACAGGGTTTCACCATGTTGCCCAGGCTGGTCTCAAACTCCTGAGCTCAGGCAATCTGCCCACCTGAGCCTCCCAAAGTGCTGGGATTACAGGCATGAGCCAATGAGCCCAGCCAAAAGCAGTATTTCCTTAAAGAAATGAAGTATTCAAAAATCTCCTTGGTCTACGTTTCAAGCAAACCATGATGACTAATTTTCAGGCTGTACACATTGTGCTGGTTTTTAAGGTTATTCCTCAAGTTATAAAGGAAGAGAGAAACACATTTGGAGAAATAGATTTGAGGAAAATTGTAAGATATGAGTCTGAAGTCTAGTGAGATCTCAAGGGCATTTTCTGTGTTCCTAAAGTAACTGATCCTCTGTTCATATACCATCTCATAGGCCATGCCAACCTTGCAGTGGCCTTACCTCTGGCCTTGCATTTCAAATTTTCAACATAGCCACTATTCGCAGCCCTTCCCAGATAAGCTGAGACTGCCAAAAAAAAAGCACTTGCCCTTTTTAACTACCTCAGACTAAAGGTGAGTTAATTAAAAATAGGATAGTTTTCCCCTCTTCCAATTTTCCTGCCCTTTTAGACAACTCAGGCAAAAACTACATTAATTAAAAGAAGGTGGTTTCCACTCTTCTGATTTTCCTAGAGGTTAGAGAACTCCTTGTTACTCTATGTGACACTAACGAGGAAAGTTGTTTCTTCACCTATTACTTCTTCCCGGTTGTACTAGGAGACAGAAATTTGTCCCTCCCCTATCGCACAAATTGCAATTCATCCACACCCTGAAAGATCCTGTTATATGTCCTAAGCACTCCTGACCCAGGATGAAAACTTGCAGGGATTCCAGCTTACCCTTGGCTCTTCCATAGGCATACTGTGTGGTTTATCACAAAAAATAATCACAATTTTTTCCCCTTCCTATTTGCTCCCATTGGTAGTGACATTCGTACTGTTTGAGCTATCTTCAATGACTTGCTTTAGCAAATGGTATATTAGGAAATGTGACAGGAAGGGAGCCTTAAAAAGCTTTGTGCACTGGGGCTTTCTCTTGGTGTCCTGTGCCACTGGGAAGAGCCCAGGCTGCTCTTCTGGATGATGAAAGGTACGTGGCCCAGTCATGCCAATCACCCCAACTCATAGCCAGGCCCATCCCAGAAGCAGAGAGGCTGGGGTGACTACAGTCACATGTGTGAGCCCAGCTGAGCAGCCTAAATTGCCAACACCCAGAATCATAAAATAAATGGTGGTCATCTTAAGTTTCTAAGTTTTGATGTGGTTTTTGCACTTATGTAACTGATACAAAACGCTGTCACTGGATGTTGGCAGATGGAGCACTAGAGTCATGTGACTCAGGCTACCCAGCAGTTTGTGATGCCTCCCTTTAGCTGCTTTAAGTCTCTGCAGTGGCCGTGACCAGCTGAGGCACTGCTAGCTTATTTCTCCTCTTTGGAGTACTGTCCAACCCTCTTGTGACCCCTCCTCCTCACTAAGAAGAGAAACTATAAAACAAAGACTATGAATAGACAAGTTGGGACCGCAAAATGAACCATAACTACAGAAATGAGAGTAGCCATATGGAAACTGGAAACAAATATGAAAACTTAAAGGAGCATAATGATTCCAGACCACTGGTCCATTTAACTTAAAAAAAAAGATGATTCTGATGGTGGTTGAATTGTCTAATCATAAAAAAAGATGGGTATCTCTCCAGTTAATTGTAAAATCTTAGAGTAACAGCAAAATCATAATCAATAAAATATAGACTTTTAAAATAATTATACTTTACATTGCAATTGTTGATCAAATATTACCAAGTAGAATCCTGCAATGTATAAAATGATGGTTGCGTCAGTTTCCAAGGACTACCATAACAAAGTACCACAAACTACATAGCTTTATTTAACAAAAATTTGTTCTTTCTGAATTGGAAGCCAGAAGTCTGAAATCAAAGTGTCAGCTTTGTGAAGCTATAGGGGAGAATCTGTTGCATGTCTTTCTCTCATCATCTGGTATTTCTGTCAGTCCTTGTCATTACTTGGATTATAGATGCATCATTCCAATCTCTGCCTGTCTTCACATGGTGTTCTCTCTGTGTGTCTATCTCTCCTATTTATTTCATAAGGACATCAGTCAAATGGGATTAGGGCCCACACTGATGATCTCATCTTAACTTGGTTATGTCTGCAACCCTATTTCTAAACAATGGCAAATTAACAGGTACTTGGGTTTGAACTTTAATATGTCTTTTAGAGGGACACAATTCAACCCATGAAAATGGTATTAGAGCTAAAAGGTTTAATTCAGCAGTGGAAAGGTAGTTCAGTATTAGAAAATATAACCAAAAGTTCTTATAACAAAATTAAGATTATTTGGTAATGTAAATAAATGCTGAAAGAGTATATAAACCAAAAAGTATCTGAGACAAGTCTCAATCAATTTAGAAGTTTATTTTGCCAAGGTTAAGGACATGTCTGTGGCCCAGCCTCAGGAAGTTCTGATGATATATACTCAAGGTGGTCGGGCTTGGTTTTATAGTTTTTTTTTTTTTTTTTTTTTCCAGACAGAGTCTCACTTTGTTGCCCAGGCTGGAGTGTAGTGGTGTGATCTCAGCTCACTGCAACCTCTGCCTCCCAGGTTCAAGTGATTCTCGTGCCTCGGGGATTACAGGTGTGCACCCCTACACCCAGCTAATTTTTGTATTTTTAGTAGAGATGGGGTTTCACCATGTTGGCCAGGCTGGTCTCGAACTTTTGACCTCAAGTGATCTGCCCACCTCAGCCTCCCAAGATGTTGGGATTACAGGTGTGAGCCACTGTGCCTGTTCAAGGAGACATAAGACATGAATCAATACATACGAGATGAACAGTGGTTTGGTCTGGAAAGATGGGACAACTCAAAGCAGGGGTGGGGCTTCCACATCATAGGTGGATTCAAAGATTTTCTGATTGGCAACTGGGTGAAAGAGTTTACTTAAAGACCTGGAATCCATAAAAGGGAGTGTCTGGGTTAGGATAAGGGGTTGTGGAGACCAAGGTTCTTATTATGCAGATGAAGCCTCCAGACAGCAGGCTTCAGGGAGAACAGACTGTAAATGTTTCTTACCATACTTAAAAAGGTGCCAGAGTCTTAGTTAATTCTCTCTTGGGTCAGGGAAAAGACCTAGAAAGGAAAAGGGATTCTCTAGGGAATACAAATTTTTTTCCCACAAGAGACAGCTTTGCCAGGCCGTTTCAAAATATATCAAAGAAATACATTTTTGGCAAAATATTTCAATTTATTTAAGGGCCTGCTGTCGAGTGATGCTATACTAGAGTTGCACTGGAATTTGATGTCTTATTGCTACATCAAGTCTTAAGATCTCTATTTTAATGTGAATGCTGGTCAGTTGTGCCTGAATTCCAAAGGGAGGAGGATAAAATGAGGCATGTCCAACCACTCGTTCCCATCATGGCGTGAACTAGATTTTTAGGTTAACTTTGGAATGCCCTTGGCCTAGAGGCAAGGTCCATTCATATGGTTGGGGGGTGAGTGTGAGGGGGCTTAGAAATTTACTTTTAGTTCACAAGTAATTATTATAAATAAGAATATTTCTTATAAAATCTCTCAGAAAAACAAGAGGAGCAAGTTGCTAAAGTATGCTAAAAATATTTTTACTATGTTAACCACAGATGATATTCGAAATAATGTAACACTAAAAGTATTTCACTAAAATCACAGTGCAGAAAGCAGTGGCCTCCAACACTGTTAACATTTATTTAAAATGATCATGAAGGTACCAGTGGATTTAGCATGAGAAAAAAAATGAAGAGTTGGAATAAGTATTGTAAAAGAAGAGAGAGAGAGATTTTTTTTTGTTGTTGATGATATGTTTGCATATCTAGAGACCACATCCAATTTTAAAACAAAAAGACAAAAGGACAAAACCTAAAATAAAAGAGATTTTGATAAGCCACCTCCCTGAAGCAGAGCCTCCTGGGTGACTGAAGTAATGTATGAGCACAGCTGAGTCCAGCAGAAGAACCACTCGATTAAGCCCAGTCTAATTAATATACAATATTATACTGTACAATATACAAATATCAATACATTTTGTTCAAACTAATAATAAGTACTTGGAGACGGAGATGAAAGAAAACCCCATTTCATTCACAACAGTTATAGGGATTTACATTGAAAAACTATAAAATAACACTGAAGTACATAAACAAGGTTTGAAGGAACTAGAAAGATATATATGTTCTCATAGCAGAAGTGTTATAGTGTGTTATTTCTCCTAAAATTTATAATGCAATTCCAATTAGAATTCCTCAAAATGATTCTTTTTGGCATGAGACAAATTATTTTATAGTTCATATACTAAAAGGGTAAATGCTCAACCATAGTAGATGAAAAGAAAGAACAGTAGAAAAGACTTTCATTACTAGATATATGAAAAAATAATCCACTTTAATAAAATCAATGCATTATTAGCATTAAAATAGATACTAGATCAACAGAACAGACAATTCAATCTCTCTCTATATATATGTATGTAATATATAACAATAGCATTACATTGTTTCAAAGAGAAAAAATTTGATATACAATGATGATACTGGCACTACTAGATCTCCATTTAGAAGAAAATAAAGGTAGTTTCCTATCATGTTTAAATATATGAATGTAGGAAGAGGATAAGAAAAAATAACTAATGGTTACTGGGCTTAATATCTGGATAATTAAATTATCTGTGCAATAAGCCCCCATGACAGGAGTTTACCTATGTAACAAACCTGCACTTGTACCCCTAAAATTAAAAAAGTTAAAAAAGATACAAATATAAAATATAAAACAACAATAACAAAAATACCTCTAGTAAAAAATCTTGGAACTCTATTTCTACTATCTAGAGGAGAGGATCTTTGTTAATTAAGTCGAAAATCCAGAAGTTCTAAAAGATGAATAACTATAAACAACTGAAGTATAACATTTGTATTGAAAAAGATGCCATGTTTCTATAAACAAATGGAATTTTCCTACATACAATGAAATGAAAGTTTGTATGGATAAAAATTAAGTTTGTATGAAGAATAAAATAAAAACAGAAAAACAAATGTAGACAAATATTTGTTTAAAAATTATTAAAATAGATAATTAAAAATTAAAATATTTAATTAAAATTTAAAATACTATATAGCACATTTGACATGCGAAGCAGTATTCTAAGCTCTCTACCTGTATTATATCATTTATTCTTACAACAATCCTTTTAGGAAATTATTAATTGTCTTAGTTTGGGCTGTTGTAACAGAATATTATAGATTGGGTGGCTTACAAATAACACAAATTTATTTCTCACAGTTCTGGGGGCTAGAAGTCTGAGATTGGGGTACTAGCATGGTTGGGTTCTGGTAGGGCTGTCTTCTGGGTTGCAGACTGTCAATTTCTCCCTGTGGTCCTCACTTGGAGGAGAAGGGCTGGCTAGCTGTCTTGCTTCTTCTTATAAAGAAAGGCACTAGGCCAGGCGTGGTGGCTCACACCTTTAATCCCAGCACTTTGGGAAGCTGAGGCAGGCAGATCACCTGAGGCTGGGAGTTCAAGACCAGCCTGACCAACATGGAAAAATCCCATCTCGACTAAAAATACAAAAAATTAGCTGGGCGTGGTGGTGCATGCCTGTAATCCCAGCTACTCGGGAGGCTGAGGCAGGAGAATCGCTTGAACCCAGGAGGCGGAGGTTGCGGTTTGCTGAGATCACATGCCGTTGCACTCCAGCCTGGGCAACAAGAGTGAAACTCCATCTCAAAACAAACAAACAAACAAACAAAGAAACAGAAAGGCACTAATCCCATTCATGAGGGCTCCACCCTCATGACCTAATCACCTCCCAAAGGCCCCACCTCCTAACACCATCAAATTGGGATTAGCATTTCAACATAAGATTTTTGTGAGAAAGATTTTTGGGGGAGACATGGGGGCAAAAACATTCAGTACATTGCAATAATCCTTTTAAAGCCACTTACAATATTACTCCTCTAATCACAAAACTTCAATGACTGATGTGGCTCTCCACTCCTCCACAATGAAATGTAAAGTTATGCTAAAATTCAAAGCACTTTACAATGACCCAGTTTCCCTTTGTGGTCTTGTCTCCAACTATTCCCTTCCATGAACTGACTAGGAGGTTTCCCGTCTTTATGTCCTTACTTCCGTGGTAAATTCTGCTTGGGATATTTTCTTTTCTAACTTGAAATCAGATGGTTTTCTCCAGCTCCACTTTCTCCTTGTCATCTTTCCTGATCTCAGATCAGATGTAATCTCCCCTATATTCAACCCCTTTAGGACTATTTTGATGCTTTTCCGTGTACACATAGCAAATTCCCTACTGCTCTTTGATAACAGAAAATATATTTTACTTATCTCTGAAGTGAAGCAAAAATATATATATTTTAATATTTTATCTTGTATAATTATAAAATAATAATTATAATATATTATAATTATAAATTATAAAATAATAATTATAATATATTATAATTATAAATTATAAAATATAATTATAATAATTAGAAAATTATAAAAATAATTATAAAATAATATAATTATAATAATTATAAAAATTATAAAAAATAATTATAAAATAATAAAAGTTACATAAAGGAAGTATTTAAAATACATGTTACCAATATTCCTAAGGATATTAGGAATCAGGAGCCTATCATTCTATGTCACATATCTGCTTGTGTGGATTTTGTCAAGATATTAAACAGGTTTAGGTCGTTTTCTCCATCTGTGAATGGAATAAAAATCTGAGCACTGTCTTTGCTATATACAGTGCTACTGTAACACTTCGTGACTCTGCTTTGTAAATGGAGAGTGATTTGAAAATACAAACATTTTATGATAGATAAGACTAGCTGTTTTCTAAGACTTAGTATTCTGCAAGATGTTAATGTTACTTTATTTAAATAAAAGGCGAATAACTTGCTCATCTACATTTGATAAATGCCAAATTTCATTTCTGGAAAATCACAATCCATTATACTTTATTAAAGAGTGTAAATTTTTTCATTAAAAAGACCTGCCTAACTTTTTGTAATATTGTGTTTACCAAACTTATTTAACAAAGAGATGCCTCTCATCTTTTTTTTTGAAACAGTAGTATCCATTAATCCTTGGAAGAATTAATGTTACCCCATAACCTACAGTGAGCAATTTGGAACGAGACACTAAAAACTTAATCTTTCGTGTAAATCAAAATAAAAAACTATCAAGCCCTTACTGTCTAATAGAATGTTTAAAAATGGCCAAGTGTGGTGGTTCACACCTGTAATCCCAGCACTGTGGGAAGCTGAGGCGGGCAGATCACCGGAGGTCAGGAGCTCATGGTCAGCCTGGCCAAAATGGTGAAACCTTATCTCTACTAAAAAAATACAAAAATTAGCCCAGCATAGTGGCACACGCCTGTAATCTCCGCTACTCCAAAGGCTGAGGCAGGAGAATTGCTTAAGCCCGAGAGATGAAGGTTGCAGTGAGCCGAGATCTTGCCACTGCACTCCAGCCTGGGTGACAGAGAGAGACTCTGTCTAAAAAAAAAAAAAAAAAAAAAGTTCAAAAATGCAAATCGTCAGCCGGGCGCAGTTGCTCACACCTGCAATCCTAGCACTTTGGGAGGCCCAGGCAGGCAGATCACAATGTCAGGAGATCGATACCATCCTGGCTAACACAATGAAACCCCGTCTCTACCAAAAATAAAAAAAGTTAGCCAGGCATGGTGGTGCATGCCTTTAATCCCAGCTACTCGGGAGGCTGAGGCAGAAGAATCGCTTGAACCCGGCAGGCGGAGGTTGCAGTGAGCCGAGATCGCACCACTACACTCTGGCCTGGGCAACAGAGCAAGACTGTGTCTCCAAAGAAAAAAAAAAAGCAAATTTTCCGTATAAATCACTACTGGGGAGTTAATTTCATAAACTGGGAGATATTCTACCTTTTCTTGACCCGCATGGTGCTACATACTATGCTGGAGCGGTAATTTCCTCAATGTTACCCCTGTGGCCACAAGGAGTCAATACTTCGCTCAACATAGTTAATTCACCCCCTGAATGTAATTTACACAATGGGGTAATATAGGTGAATATATAGTTCTTTCTGGCTTTACTTAAATTTATAAAACTAAATGATTCACAAAGGACAAATTATCAAGCTGTATAAGCTAGCAATCATCCATTTAGTGCAGAGTTCTTTTAAAAACAATTTTTGACGGTAAATAGTATTACAGCTTTTTGAAGCACACATAAAAATATGATCTTATAAGACTTCTGAATTACTTTTTAAAAATCCCATTATTTTTATTCTGTACATTGGACCCATCTTAATGATATTTAAACCTTAGGATTCGATCGGCTTCTTCCAATTCACATGTGGGAAGGACATTAGAAACCTATTTGTTTACATGGAGTTGGATAGATGGATGGTTTAAGTTTTCTTCTGTACCTAAGGGTATGGCAAAGATATAAACATGGGAGAAAAGTATATTTATGTGAAAAAAAAAAATCATACAATGGAGCTTTTTGTTTTATTTCACCTTCCACTGTACCAAAATATAAACTTCAAATATCTCATTTTTTTTCAGTTTTCTTAAAAGGAGTGGTAATCACTGTTTCGTCGTATTCAGGAATACTCTTTTAACAGTGTGTTTTTTCACTCTTTTTCTGCCTCATCTCTGTGGAGGCATACTCAGACTCCCAGCATTAAAAGTCATTGATTAGTGTGGAGATTTCAGACACAAACCTGAATGCTCTTTATTGAAGCTTATCCAAATACTGAGGGAAGCCTAAGGAGCTGGAGAAAGCCTCACTGCTGATTCTCATTTGCCTGCTGGAAGTTTGAGCTCCTCCTTAGGGCATTTGATACACTGCCACTGTGGAAAATCACAGCTTAAAAGAAGAGTGTCTCTCTGTGGGAATGGTGCTCAATACATATTCATTGAATGCATAAATGATGTTCTGCTTAATCACATATCACTGCTTTCCTATCCTATTTCAAAACAACAACCACAAAACACCTTCACTCTCTGTCCTGCTTGGTGTTAGGACAAGTCAGATGTCCTTAGACTATCATGAAAGGTCTTTCTTAATGTGGATTTTTGATATTTTGGCCATATGATGGAGAAGAGAGGAGGAAGGAAGGGATGGCACATTAAGCAGAGTTATCTAAAAGTGACCTTGTAAGTTCATGCAGGGTTTCCTGGATAATAAGGTGGTTAAGACCCGAGCTGTCTCTTTTCCTAGAGCAAAAGGGCTAAATCCAAGCAACTCAGTCCCCACAAACCTTCACCTCCAGGAGCAGGAGCTTCCTCTCTGTATATTTTGCCCCCAGCAGAGAGGACTGGTATACCAAGGAATGCAAGCTCTCCAAGAACAGGGCAGTAGGTGATTCCAGAAAACTCTTACCAATAGCTTGCCTGGCACAACGCAGCCTGTTTGTTTCTTCATTGTCGTGACTCCTTTCCTTAGAAGAGAGATCCATGGTGGGAGGATTCTTGTGATGCATTAGAATCCTTTGTTTGTCTCTCAGAAATTATGGCTCTGGCAAGCCTCTCCAACTGATGATAGAGAGGTCAAGAAATCAAGTATATTTCTGCCCTGACTCTGGCCTTCTGAATGATCTCTCCCCCTAATGAAACTCATTTCTCACCCATGTATTGTGATACTGTGGAGAAACCCAGAAAGGACTTCAATCCATAACAAACAAAATTCAAATCATGAATAAAAATCCACATGGACTGACTAAAACACCAAAAGCAATGGCAACAAAAGCCAAAATTGACACATGGGATCTAATTAAACTAAAGAGCTTCTGCACAGCAAAACAAACTATCATCAGAGTGAACAGGCAACCTACAGAATGGGAGAAAATTTTTGCAATCTATCCATCTGACAAAGGGCTAATATCCAGAATCTACGAGGAACAAATTTACAAGAAAAAAACAAAAAACCCCATCAAAAAGTGGGCAAAGGATATGAACAGACACTTCTCAAAAGAAGACATTTATGCAGCCAACAAACATATGAAAGAAAGCTAATCATCACTGGTCATTAGCGAAATACAAATAAAAACCGCAATGAGATACCATCTCACACCAGTCAGAATGGGTATTATTAAAAAGTCAAAAAATAACAGAGGCTGGCAAGGTTTTGGAGAAAACTGAAGGTTTTAACACTGTTGGTGAGAGTGTAAATTAGTTCAACCATTGTGGAAGACAGTGTGGCAATTCTTCAAGGATCTAGAGCTAGAAATACCATTTGACCCAGCAATCCCATTACTGGATATATAGCTAAAGGATTATAAATCATTCTACTATAAAGACACATGTACATGTATGTTTATTGCAGCACTATTCACAATAGCAAAGACTTGGAACCAGCCCAAACACTCATCAATAATAGACTGGATAAAGAAAACGTGACACATATACATCATGGAATACTATGCAGGCATAAACAAGGATGATTTCATGTCCTTTGCAGGGACATGGATGCAGGTGGAAACCATTATTCTTAGCAAACTACCACAAGAAAAGAAAACCAAACACCGCATGTTTTCACTCATAAGTGGGAATTGAGCAATGAGAACACATGGACACAGGGAGGGGAATATCACACACTGGGGCCGGTCGGGGGCTGAGGAGCTGGGGAGGGATAGCATCAGGAGAAATAGCTAACGTAAATGACGGATTGATGGGTGCAGCAAACCACCATGGCACGCATATAGCTATGTAACAAACCTGCACATTCTGCACACGTATCCCATAACTTAAAGTATAATAATAAAAAATTTTAAAAATTCCACTTGAAATTTATGTGTGGAATAAAGGTATAATTCAGAGCAAACTCTAGAATAAAAGAAAATAAGAGTTGGATAAACAAAATTTCAGAAATAAGAGGCACAGCTAAGTACAGAACTTTGTAGACACAATGGAAGAGGCTGGCTCCAACTGAAAAGGAGATATAGATAATCCATCTAAATTCTCACAGAGGAACAGGCAGAACAGGCGAGACATGGATAGGAGAGATCTGAGGAGTCTGTCTGTCTTTGGTTAGGAAGACCTGAAATTTAAAATCCGATGAAGCAGTAGAAGTCTTCTTGAGAGAAACCCTGGGAAAAGTTTTGCTTCCCCTTCTTCAAGCCCAATAGCAAAAATATGCCTTCACTCAAACCATCCTAACACAATTATGTAAGCTAACTAAATTAATAACAATACCACATTCTTATGGGACAGGGTTTTTATCGGCAGTGAGGTCCACAAAGAAAGAATTAGTAGCACCAACATCCTGTCTCCTCGGTCTCTGAGTCTTTTCCCTGAGTTGGGATTCAAGATTTATGCCCTTAGGTTGATTACGACTGTTGATGATAACATTGGTGGTAACCCCTTTCGAACCCATACTGATGTGTTCTTTGGGTGCTTTTTAAATGGGGAAACAAGAAGTCCAGCTAGGTTTCAGAAGCTCGTAGATAAAAGCAGGATATGCATTGCCTATGACTAAAGTCTAATCTATAACTTCTCCATTCTTCCTATCATCGGAAACTATCGTTTTCTTTTCCCTGCTAATTTGTCCCAAGAGTACTATATCAGAAACAGGGCCTGAACTTTTAATGGATCAGTTGCTTTTATATTTTCTTAATTACAGAAAAATTGAATACTAGAAAACAAAATGTATTGTTTAAAAATGCTCATATATACTGTTGCTATCTCTGTTATCTTAAAAGCCGTATATTAATTTAAAAAACAACAGGATACATTATTTATACTCTCTCTCTCTCTAGCATAGTAGGGAGGAAATATTTGGAACCAGTTCACTTAGGAGTTTAGAAAATGTTGCATCAACACTTTCATCCTTGGTCTTGGGTCTAGATTTCACCCACTTCTGAAGTGCTTGACATTGGAAGATACAAAAAGGGAATGAGGTGAGAAAAATCCTCCCCCATGTAAGGGAGGGGGAGTTTTCAAAAGAAAGAAGTAGGAAACAGTGGAGTAGGAGCTTTGAAAGAGGTGACTGAGTGGTTAGGAAGGGCGATAGGTATAAGGCTTCTCCCATCAGGCACCAGGCAACCATTTCAAATGGTTTCTGACATACTTTCTTGGATTTTCGGAATTAGAAAGCTGAAGAAAAAAATCTACTTCTGAGATATCCTCATTGGTAAGGTCCTGTAGGTAATTTAATCATGTGAATTTCACGAATGGAGTTATAGGGAGTAAGAGAAAAGATGTGAAGTGTCCCTTAAGCTAGAGGGAAATGCTTTTGGAGCCAAGAGTCATTGTAGAAACCTGATGATGTGGCTGGTCATTGCCTGCTTTGGCTGTGATTTGATCACGGCAATAGGTGATATCATTCTAGACCTAGCACCTGTGCTGGAAGTGAGCTTGCAAGTGAGCCCTTTTCCAGTTGAGCTTTGAGATGAATGCAGCCCCAGGCAAGACCTCAATTGCAGCCTTGTGATCCTAAAGCAGTGGATTGTGCTAAACTTACAGAAACGGTGAGATAACAAATGTTCCTGTTTTAAGCTTCTAAATCTAGGGGTAATTTATTACACAGTAATAAATAACTGAAACATTTCCTCTCTCAGCTTCTGGCCCTGCAAGATGGATGGCCACCAAAAGATAGGGAAGACCTAGATCTCTGCATCACTGTTTAGACAAAAGCTATCAGGCCAGGAACACCTATTTTGGACTTATAGTTGACTGAGGATTTACTTTTAATTGTTTAAGCCACTGACATTTTGGGGTGGATAAATTGAACAGATAGAATTAATTGCCTTAATAATACAATCTACTTTCCCTTAGTTATTATTTCCTCGGTTTTTCAAAGGGGTTCATTTTAATGTTTTCCATTTTTTTATTCTCTACTGTTTTGCAAGTTTGACATTCCACTTCTCTTTTTCTTAGTGCTTGTTCTTAACTTTTTAACATGCATATGTGATGGGTCATTGAATAAGCAGGAATCAGAAATCAACTTTATATTTGTCTTTTCTGCCAATTAAACATTGATGAGCTCTCTTCCCTGGTGCTGCCAACCGAGGTGCAAGCCATCTCCTACTTGGCATCAGACCAAATGTAGATTCCTCCTAAAGCCCAAGATAGTAAAAAAGAGGACCAAGAAATTCATCTGGCACCAGTCAGACGGACAGGTCCAAGTTAAGTGTAACTGGTGGAGACCAAGAGGTATTGATGACAAGGTGCAGAGAAGATTTAAGGGCCAGATGTTGATGCCCAACTTTGGTTATGGAGGCAACAAGAAAACAAAACACATGCTGCCTAGTGCCTTCCGGAAGTTCCTGGTCCACACTGTCAAGGAGCCACAAGTGCTGCTGATGTGTAGCAAATCTTGCTGCACTGACATTGTTCACCATGTCTCTTCCAAGAACTCCAAAACTGTCTTGGAAAGAGCAGCCCATCTGGCCATCAGGGTAAACAATCCCAATGCCAGGCTGTGCAGCAAAGAAAATGAATAGACAGCTTATGTGCATGTCTTTTTATGCTTCAAAATCAAACCATAAAAACTGCTGATATGGTTTGTGTGTGTGTTCCTGCCCAAATCTCATATTGAAATGTAATTCTCAATTTTGGAGGCATGGCCTGGTGGGAGGTGATTGGATCATGGGGGCAGTTTTCTCATGAATGGTTTAGCACCATCCTCCTTGGTACTATCCTAGTGATAGTGATATAGAAGATAGAAAGAAATTATTTAGGCAGATAGTGAGGGCAAAAGAGTCCGCGGCAAAACTTCCCTTTTAACAAAAAGCAGCCCTAGAAATCATTTTTTGTTTCTAACAAAGAGCAGCTGGAAAGATCAAGCTGCAAACGTAGATAAGGAAGCTGGAAGCTTGCACAGGGGAATGACGGCAGCTGTGCCAATAGAAAAGGGCTACCGGGGGCCAGGCATGTCCACCATGGAAGTTGCATCCTTCTTTTTTTTTGTTAGCATGTGCAGAGTAAGAAGGAACTCAGCAACATGGAGAAACTCAGGCAGGTAATCTACCTGCATAATAAAAGATTGGGGTGGGGGCTGACAGAGATTTGCACCCTATACAGATGGCACACCTAGTCCTAACCAGTTTATCATGCATTATGTAGATCAGACAACAACCACCCCCCCAACTAGCTCATCTATAACCCCTGCCCTGCATTTCACTGCACATTGGCAACCCGTTTTTCTGGGACCCCTCTCTGTAGCAGAGAGCTATTCTCTTTCCTTCACCTATTAAGCAGCTTAGCCTCACGCTTTTTGTGTCCACGTCCTTGATCTCTGTGCCGTGAGACAATAAACCTTGGGTGTCACCCCAGACAAGGAGGCTGCATCAATAGTGAGTGAGTTCTTGTCAGAGCTGGTCATGTAAAAGTGTGTGACATCTCTCACCTTGCTCTCTTGCTCCTGCTTTTGCCATGGGATGTGCCTGCTCCCCTTTTGCCTTTGGCCATTATTGGAAACTTCCTGAGGCCCCCCCAGAAGCAGATGCCACTATACTTCCTGTACTACCTGCAGAATCATGAGCCAATTATCTCTTATAAATTACCCAGTCCCAGGTATTTTCTTTATATCAATGTGAGAACAGCCTACTATGACTGCCCCCACCCCAACAAAAAAATGATGACATGAGCAAAGTTCACCCTTAGTACTAGATAAGAGTGCAGGCAATTCATGACGTGTCTGGTAACTCTTAGATAATATGATGTCTTATACCTACTTTAAAGTAAAACAGAACAAAAATAGGAAAGGGCCTGGCATGTGTACCTTTACCAAGCTCCCCAGATGACTCTAATTCACCCAGAGTTTGGGAACTACACAAAACATAGTCTTGATTTAGAAATTAGAATGTTCAATTCAATATGTTAATTTCCATTTTCATCATCATTTAAAGAGAAAGTCCCTCCAGTATCTTCTGAGATGAGCTGCCCTCTGCTAGAAAAGCAGTGTGGTACTTGCCCTCCCTTCAGAAGCATCCCTCCTACTCCTTGTTAACAAGTTTCTGACCCAACCAAGATCGAAGTCATATGGGAGGAGGGCAAGGAAGTGCTGGGTAGAGAAGGGCAGGGTCCTGGCGAGAGCTCCACCCTTGGGCCTGTGCCATGGACCTAAGAGAGAACAGGCATTCCTGTTTATGTGCCCAAATGTTGCATTTTCCAAGACCACTATGGTCTGTTACACCTTCTGTTCTGTGCCCATATAAGCCCAAGACCTTAGTGGGCACAAACACAAGTGGCTAGACATTGAGAGGAGCAGAGGAACACACCAGCAGACACAAGCTGACTAACAATGGTGGAACAACGTGGATGCCGAGGGGAGTCTGGCAGTGGGGAGTTGGAGGAGAGTCTGGCCATTGGGCAGCCTGTCTCCTGGGGAAGACCACTTTCTCATTCCATCCCCCTTCTAGCTCCCCATCCATCTCACTGAGAGCCACTTCCACCACTCAATAAAACCTTGCACTCATCCTCCAAGCCCACATGTGATCTAATTTTTCCGGTACACTGGACAAGAACTCAGGATACAGAAAGTCCTCTGCCCTTGCAATAAGGCAGAGGGTCTAATTGAGCTATTAACACAAGTTGCCTGTAGATGGCAAAACTGAAAGAGCACACTGTAACACATGCCCATTTGGACTCTGGGAGTCATAAACACTCACCCTTAGATGCTACCATGGGGTCAGAGCCCAAAAGTGCTCCCCATGACCTCTGCACCTGCTCGTCTACATGCTTCCCCTAGGGATTGAGCAGCTGGGCACCAAAGAAGTGAGCCACACCCCTACTGCATGCCCAGTGAAGGGGATAATGGAAGTCTCCCATTTCAAAATCAGGAGGGGGAAAGACTGAAAAGGAGCAGAAAATCTCTTATTTAAATGCCATCTTTAAAATGTTGACAAGCATACATTGCTAATACAATATTAAGCAGTACTTTCCTGAAGGATATAAGAATCTTAGAATGCTTTAGCTCTCATTATCCTATCCAATCATACATGTTACTGTTGTTTAGGATTTTCACTCATCCTTAATCTTTTAATCAAATTAGTAGTTGTTATTGTTATCATTATCATTTTGTACAGTCAAGGTTTACTTGTTGAGGTTTACTCCTGTTTCCCAATGCTTTCGTTTAGTTTTACCATTTGCATGTTATTGCACTTCAGAGGTTTTTCTTGTATCCTGTCATTAGCCCTTCCCTCTTTCCTATATATAATTCCTCTCCTATATTCTCATTTGAGAGATTACTTTTGCCTGTTTCTCCCTCCCTCTTGATGGATACTGTCATTGCCTACAGAATTTTAGATTGTCATTAATTTCTCTCCGTCTGTTGAAGAGATAGTAGGCATTGGGATTTGTACCTAATCTAGTATCCACTTTTGCATTTTCTCTTGCTGAGAGAATCCTAAAGCCAAGAACCTGCTAAATATCTCCATTTTCAGACTTCATTGCTGCTAGGAGTGGAGTGGTCCTTAATGTAATTCTTGCTGGTAAAATGTCAGTGAAACTCTACTGGTCATTTCTGGGAAATATTTTACTTTCATGACAAAAGACGACACACTGCTGAGAAACTCCTTCACTAATTCTTTCCACTGCAGAGGTTATGAGACTTCTGTGGCTGCAGCAGTCATCTTGTGACTTTGAAATTACAAGCATGAAGAACCAACAGAATTTTAGAGATGAAACTCTGACATTGTTGAGCCACTTAATGCCAGAAACCACTCACCTGAATTTTTTTTTTTTTTAGACAGAGTCTCCCTCTGTCGCCCAGGCTGGAGCGGTGCAGTGGTGTGATCTCGGCTCACTGCAACTTTTGCCTCCTAGGTTCAAGTGATTCTCTTGCCTCAGCCTCATGAGTAGCTGGGACTACAGGTGTGTACCACCACACCCGACTATTTTTGTACTTCTGGTAGAGATGGGGTTTCACCATATTGGTAAGGCTGGTCTTGAACTCCTGACCTCATGTGGTTGCCCGCCTTGGCCTCCCAAAGTGCTGGAATTACAGGTATGAGCCGCCGCACCCAGCTGATTTTATATTTACAAATCTTATATTCTGCACAGTGTTATATAGGATGCACCATGTACATTTGCGTCTTTGCACCTTTGTGCTGGCTCTTGTCTGCTACTCCTACCTCCCATGCTTCTTGTCTTTTACTCTTTAACTCCCACATCACAATTTACTCCTTTTGTGAATATATCCTTGACTCCCTTAGGCAAAACAATTGACCCTTTCATCTGTGTTCTAGGAACAATTTGTACGTGTTTATATTGACATTGACCACATTTTATTGTAATTCATATTATGAGTCTGTCACTCTCACCAGATTGTTCTTCAAAAACAGGTGTCATTCTTTCTATAGATTTTATCACAAAATTAGGGTTCAGTAAATATTTATTTAATGAATTAATCTATGGCCAATGGTTTGGCTGCCATGTCCAAATACAAAAATTATTAATTTTTTTTTCCTTTGGCTCTCTTTTTCTGTGGATGTTGTCTTTAGTCACTCTTTCTGACAAACGAATTCAGAGCTCCTTTTGGGTACAAATAATTCCTCCAAAAACCTCCTCAGAAATCACGTGTGGAGCTGCTTAATATGTTCTTAATGAGCTTTCTGTTTCTAGAATAGTATGTAGAATGTTATTGTTAAGTAACATTTTAGTGTTCTTTCTTTCCTTTCCCCAAAATGCTATTGTTTCCCTAAAGTGTTGATAGTGGAAATATAAGGTTTGCTTCAAGTGAAGAAATACTATTTTAACATCTGTTAGGCTAGAAGAATAATTTTCATTATTCATAGGAGACTTAAAGAATAAAAACCAAGATAATGTTAAATAAGATTGTCTAGGAGCAGAGTGATTTTACCATTTCAAAATGATCTTACTGTTTTAGTATTGTGGCTAACTAGACTGGAGAATATTTGTCTTTTTTTTTTTATGGATTTCAATAAGTGTTCTGACCAGGATTTACTTCAATGTTTGTTGGTTACTTTCTCCTCTGGGACATTGTTTGTGGTTTAAAAAACTCTTTGTATTTATTAACAATTTAACCAGATTCAGATGATCAGAGAACTTACCGTGAAGCCAGAGGCATCTTACTATAACAGATTCATAACTGAAGGATGAAGGTAAGATAGATGAAGACACAATTTAATCAAACTAAAATAATTTAAAACTTGGCAGAGTAAAACTGTATTTAGAAAATGATACCTTGATACTACTAGACTGGAGTAAATTAAACCTATCATGACTTTAGACTGGACATGGATAAAATATTTTAGTCCTTGCAAGAGAAATGTTTGAGAGATTGTTAAATTCTCCTTGAGTTGTCATTCTGACATAGTATATATTCAAACTACAAATCTTCGAACTATGTTTGGTTTACTAGTTACTCATATTTATTACTTTTTATTTTCTACTACCAAAAGTACTTTCATTCTTCTATATAAATATTGTCCTCAATATTGTATTTCTTTTTTGCTCTACTCCAATCCTTCTGTTTACTAGCTTTAATTAAAACAAACAAATAAACAAATGAAAAACTTCAATTCTCTATGTTGCTTCCATTTAGGAAGAAGTTCTGCTCGAGATGGTAAAGCCCTATTGGAGATCAGCAGAAAATATAAATGAAGGCATAGACCAAGTGCAGACGACCGGGGAGTGGGTTTATGGGGACTTTTGGGTCCAGAGAACACATATCCTATCTAAAGTGGGTAGCTGCTACTCTTGCTCATTTTTAGTGGATTAATTTTTTTCTAAAAAGGTCATGCATGCAGATATTCCTGTTAAATCTTCATCTGAAAAACATGTTGCCGCATCTAGACATTGAGCATCAATGATTAACACAACAAAAAGTGGGATGATGAATGTATCACTGCCCATAAAGCAGTATTGTAATAAAATTGGAATATGAACACAATGTAACTTCTGGATCCAACTCTCAATTTACAGCAATCCAGAGAACACAGGAAGTCGTTAAACTACACCACGGGGATGCAATCAGCGCAGACCAGACTGTAGGGGACAACAGGACCAACAACAGCTTCTTCAACATATAATTGAAAGGAAAGAAAAGAGGTGGAGGGTAAATTTATAGGTCAAAAGAGGTTTAAGAGATACATTAACCAATTACAATTGCACAGATTTTCAACTGCACAGCGGTCAAAACCCCAATCCCCATATTGTTTAATGCTACCCTATATATGCAACTAATTTTCAATTCTTGCTTCTCATTCTCATAAAAAACTAGAACATGTTAATTATACTTTAGAGAAATAAAGATATATAGACTACAATTTTCACTTGGAGAGTAAGAGACATAGAAATCAAACCTTAAAGAACAATGTGATATCACCCTCTTGCTCAGTGTTTCAATATTTAAACTGTATACATGTATTTCTCATTGTTAGACTGTTTGAATATTTCCTCAGATTTTCAGTCTTGCAATACAATGCTTCTGAGTAACAACAGATTCAAATTAGTAAATGGCAGCTCCAAAGTGTATTTCTGAGGAAATCATCCCCAGGGCCTGCCAATCAAAGACCATGATATATTCAGAGTACTTATTGCTATTATACAACACTTTGCAAAAGAAGGCCATTTGGAGACCAATAATACCTTTATCCCGTGTCCCTGGGGACAACTTAGGTCATTCATTGTTAGAATCACTGACTGCTAATTCCCTAAATCCTACTTGAGGGAATTAAAGATTGCAGAGATGTGATTGCTGGAGACCTTCTTGAGCCCCATTGCATGAAAAGTGGCCAGTACGGCGACTACACTTACATAGTGCTTGGTAAAGGCTGACTCCCTTCCCTCCACCCTGTCCATTGCTTAATGAAGCTCGTCTAATGGATAAGCAAAATGATTTAACACAGTGCCTCCCAGTCTCGTGATGGGGGGTTAAGGATGGAAGTAGAGAACACATATTAAGCTTGTCTAGGGAAATTGTTTTAGGGTCTACAACCTTTCCCTGTAGGTGAATCAGAATTTGAGAACTGAAATCTGAAAACCTCCACAGATGGTTCTAGTGTCATCTCTCCAGAGATACCCATACTCCTGCCCTGCACACCAACAAAATCCCTGTTTGAAAACCACTGCTCTAACAAAATGAATCTCAGAATCTTAAATGAGAGAACTTGAAATGTTGCTATTCTGTTATAATCCATCATTTACCTTAGGAGATCTGTCATTCTGTCGATTACTTATGCATATCAAATTTAAAAGTAAATCTTAACATCACTACAATTATATTCGAATGGTCTCTGTTAAACAGGACTTCTATTTTATGCCACAAATGTTAGAATTATCTCTACGTTTAACATTGCTATGATTATTAGAAAAATAAAATAAAATACTTGCAGCCAGTTCAAGGAATACTTTCCTATGAAACAGCATAGTTACAGTTCAGGTGTAAAATAACTCACACAGAAATACAGGAGAAGGGAAGAAAAGACTGTTTATCCATTATTAACTAGGGAATTATTTAAATAAGGAACAAGAAAGCAGAAATTGGTATAAGCAAATAAATAGAGGCTTTATATGCAGATACAATAGTGCTAGTATAGTTTATATATGGGAATAGCTTAATAGTGGGGTGGCGTGGAAGTGAATGATCCCTGATGGACAATTAATCAAATCTACCAGAGTTAATTCTGCCTCCTGTTGGATGCTTCCATGGTCTGCGGTTAGTGCCTTCCACTTACGGTTCTTCTAACTTTGGTATTTTTCTTTTGAAACATCTTGAGAAGGCTATGTAATCCACTCTGCAGTTTTCCTATCAGACTGATGATTTGTAAAGCAGAAAACAAATTAACATCGATTTTTTGGCTTTCCCTTTGGAGGCTGATAGTCAAGATAAGAAAGATTTGAATATTCTCAAAATTCCTGCAAAACCTCTGCTGTTTCTATCCTCTTTTTCTTCATGCTCCTCCCACCTCCTTCTCAACATGCTCTCCTTTCCTTAGTCCAGCAGCTTGCAAAGCGACAGGCTGACCCGGTTTCATCCCCGCTGTGCAAGAGTGGCAGGAAGTCTTCCAGATTGGCTTGGGGATTCCGAATTTGGCAGCACAAGGTGCCTGGGCTGTATAATCTTTTTGTGAGAGGTGTATATGTAACTACATTGGGTTCATGATTTCTTATTTCTACCAAAAATAAATTTTAAGGGTCCTAGCACAGTTTCTTTCTTTCTTTTTTGAATGAGAGTATTAAGGTAAAGAGACTACTTTTAAAACATTGGTGATCTCTGTGGTGTTCCTCTTTAAAAGGAAAAGAGAACACCTACAAGCAAAAATTTACTTGATGATCATAGATATACAAAGTACAGATCTCAGTTTAAACCTCAGATGTGAGAAAGCTCCAATTTATTTTTCTATAACACATCTCAATAACTAATATGCACCCCGAATGTTGTATGAGGTGGCAATTTGGGGTTCCTACTCCCTTTCTCTACAGTTGTGTCTAAAGTCTGAGACTTTAGTTGTCCAGGCCTGTGACACCGAGAGAACTTGATCCCAGTTCACTTTTGAACATGTTGACATCACACCTGGATCCCAACTGTCAGCACATACAGGTTGTGGCTGTGTCATTTCTCATTCCTATCAGAAAAATCCTGTTGTCCTCTTCTCAGCAAGAGATTCATCTACCACTTCTGCACCATGCCGAGTGACATAATTGTATGTGCAGTAGTTTTCGAGTGTCTTCTAACCCCTCACCATTCTCAAGGCAGGGGACAATTCTGCTGCTTACAAGCCAAGCCATGCTGGGCATGTCAACTTCTGTGGCTCTGCCAAGGCCTTCTGACTAGCCTTGGCCTTGGGGATCTTGCCTCTATGGTGCTGTACCAAAGCAAGGCTCAGTATGCCAGAAAAATAGCTTCCTTCTACTGCAGCACTTGGTCTGGCATGGGCTGACTCTCCTCTTCCTTTTCTTCTTTTTCTCTTCTTTTTTTTTTTTTTTTTTTTTTTGAGGCGGAATCTCACTCTGTCACCCAGGCTGGTGTGCAGCGACACAATCTTGGTTCACTACAACCTCCGCCTCCTGGGTTCAAGCGATTCTCCTGCCTCAGCCTCCCAAGTAGCTGGGATTACAGGCACCCACCACCAAGCTGGCTAATTTTTTGTATTTTTAGTAGAGATGCGGTTCCACCATGTTGGCCAGGCTGGTCTCGAACTCCTGACTTCAAGTGACCCACCACCTCGGCCTCCCAAAGTACTGGGTTTACAGGCATGAGCCGCAGCGCCCAGCCTTCTTTTCCTCCTTTAAATCAACTTTATTGTGATATAATTTGTGCACAATAAAATGCACTACTGGAAATATTAAATTCAGTAAGTTTTGTCCAATGTTCATACCCACACAGCCTTCATCACAATCAGGAGGCAATACATTTCCATCACTTTGCCTCATGCCCTTTGCAATCAACATCTCTGATTCCAGAACCAGCCAATCACAGATCTGCTTTTTGTTACTATAGATTAATTTAGCCTACCCTAGAATTTTATAAAAATGAAATCCTGTGTTACGTACTCTTTCGTTTTTGACTTTCATTCTCATGATTTTGAAATTCCTACATGCTGTTCGTAGTAGCAGTATTTCATTCCTTGGTATCACTAATAGTATTCTGTTGTATGAATATACTAAAATTTGCTTATCCACTCACCTGATGATGGACATTTGTGTTGTTTTGTTGAATGATAAGAGCTTGATTAATGTTATAGGGAAATGTCAAATTGGTTTTCAAGGTGGTTGTATCATTTTACATTTCCTTCAGCAATGTATTATAAAGCCAGTTCCTCCACATCCTTGCCAGGCTCCTTCATTTTAGCCATTCTAATGGGTCTGTAATGGTTTCTCATTTTAGCATTAATTTGCATTTCCCTGATAATAAATGATAATAAGCATCTCCCCATATGCTTAGTAGCCATTTGTATATTTTTCTTTGTGAAGTGTCTGTTCAAATATTTTGCCAATTTTATCAATGGATTATTGTCTTGTAAAAGTTATCTATGTGTTGTAGATACAAATTCTTTGTCAGATCTATGTATTTTAAACATTTTCTCCCCATCCATAGCTTGCATTTTCATTTTAATAATAGTATTGTTCAAAGAGAAAAAGGTTTTAATTTTAATGAGGTCAAATTTATTATTTTTTCTTTCATTATTTGTGTCCTAAGAAACGATTGCCTACCTCAAAGTTGCAAACATCTTCTGTTTTATTCTAATATTTCTGTAATTTTAATTTTTACAATATATCTTATTTTAAATTAATTTTGGGGTACAATGATGTTAATGGCAAGGCTCATTTTTTTTCATATGGATATCTAATTACTTCAGCATCGTTTATTGAAAAGATTATTGTATCCTCACTGAATTATCTTGAATCTTTCATTGTTTGGTTTTGAGGCAGGGTCTCACTCTGTCACTGCTCTGGAGTGCGGTGGCAAAATGTTGGCTCACTGCAGCCTCAACTTCCTAGGCTCAAGCAATCCTCCCACCTAAGCCTCCCAAGTACTAAGACTACAGGTGTTTGCCACCATGCCTGACTCATTTTTATTTTTTGATTTTTCTGTAGAGATGGGTCTTGCTACGTTGCTCAGGCTGTTTTCAAATGCCTGGGCTCAAGCGATCCTCACCCCTTGGCTTCCAAAGCATTGGGATTGCAGGCATGAGCCACCACACCCAGCCTTGAATCTTTGTTGAAAATCAGCTAATATTATATGTGTGGATTATTTCTGGACTCTATTTTGTTGATTTATATTTTATTATGATTCAAATAGCACACCCTCTTAATTTTTTACAGATTTATATTAAGCCTTAAAACATTTTTTCTTTTTTCTAAGCATTTGCATTTTCAGGCAAGTTTTAGAATTTGTTTATTAAGTTCTACATTACTGCTCGCTGGGATTTTAACTGGGATTGCATTGAATCTCCTGATATATTTGTGGAGAACTGAGATCCCAATAAGGTTTAGTCTTCCAGTCCATGAAATTCCTATCTCTCCATTTATTTATCTTCTTTTATTTCTCTCAGCAATGTTTGACAGTTTTCTGGGTAAGGTCTTGCTCACACCTTGCTAAATTTATTTTCGAACATTTCATGCTTTTAGATGTGACTGCAGGTGGTATTATTTTTATTTTAAATTTAATTTTCAATTATTTGTTGCTGGTATATAAAAATATACTGAATTATGTATCCTGACTTTTCATCCTGTGAGTTTGCTAAATTCTATTATTTCTAGCAATTTTACTTTTGTAGATTCCTTAGGATTTTCTACACATTCATCTTGTCTGTGAATAGATGATAATCTATTTCTACTCTGTATCCCTTTTCTTTTCAATCTGTATGCCTTTTATTTCTCTTTTATGTATCATTGTACTGGCTAGGACCTCAAATACAAGGAGAATAAGAGTTTTTGTAGCCTTAAAAATAGTTCATGAAATAATTTTTGTTGTTTCGAGGATGAGGGAGAGAGTTGTATATTACACGGCTTTTAGATTCTAAAATCAGAAGAGACGTAAATTATTGATTCAAATCCCCTGTTGACGTCTGCTAAATCACCTTTTAAACATAACATTATAAAAAATATGGTAATGCCTATATTTATACCTTTTTTTTTGTCCAGTGTATGAATGTTTAAAAATATATACCTTACAGACCTTCTTTCATTTAATTCTTGTAATAGTCCTGGTATTATCTTTAATTAATAAAAGAAGAATCTAAATCTCAAATGTGATATAACGTATACAATATAAAATATTTACTTTTTTTCATTACAAAAAGTATTATGAAATACTTAGCATTTGGAGAGGAAAAAAGTATTGGTAAAAAAATGGAAACAACTGATAAAAATCAACTTCATTATAAACTAAAATATCTACAAAATCCAGAACAATAACATTTTGGGTTTTTTTTCTAAGAAAACGTAATGTATTGTCATGTCTGAGTTTATCATATTTGGGATTAACTATCCAAATATTTTGATTATTATTTGCACAGCTCTCTATAAAATCTTTCATTTAAACATAGTATCTAAAGCTTCAGTTTTAAAAATTTTATAAAATATCACAACTCAAATAACTTATAATAAACATTTTTCTGAGTGAAGATCTTATGCCTCCTACTTGATGTTTATTGAATAATATTTTTTGCATGTTTATGAACATTGTCATAGAGATGGTTCCTATAGACACGTTAATTCTGCTTTTATGGAGTAATCCTGTGGTTTCCAGTATAACCAGGAGCTGGTTAATAAAATTATTTTATTCTTTGAACAAGTCAATTGCACTACTTAAATTGTATCAGTAAGGTAGTAATTAGAAATCTGATTTGGAAACTAATTTATCTGAGTTAACTGTTGAACAACAACAATTTAAAAAAAAACCATTACATCTTATTCTTCACGAGCTAGCTATACAGTCATTATTTCTTGACTCTAGATCCACGCTAAATGATTATTTTGGCAAAGAGTAAACTGGTACTCATTGAACAAATAACGGTGGACTTACTGGTGAAATTATTTTCAGTGCAGATTTTTGTTTGGAAACATTTTAAAACTGATATATTTGTGATATTGATTTAGATTTCTTACCAATATACTCTATAGTGTATTCTGTAAAAATCAAAGAGTTCCTTGGAAATATACAAGCTGTTAACTATGTTACTGTATCTTTCTTTGGGAGAGTCACGTTACACATTTGTGTATTAAATGCTCTGAGAAGTCTTACAACAAAGACTTTTGTTCAATTTTGTTTACACTTTTCTCAAAAGAATGTGACTACAGAAACTTTTTGCTTAATACCTGTTAGCATCTTATTAAATTGAAGTTCTAAGGAACATACTGTTTGGAAACCAGTGAAATGCCAAGATAATGGTTAGGTCTACCCTCGTCTAACTCCTTCAGTGGGTGGAAGGGTGTAATCATATGCAGTGTCTGAGCTTGAGGACACATCAGAACACTGGGTTCTCACAATCAGTAGGGGACAATGAAACGCCAGCAGAACTTGTTCTGCTGGGGCTAATTACTGAAAGTTTATTTTTGCTTGGGATCTCATTTTTCTCTTCCACTCACTCCACCCTTGAGAGCTATGGGTCAATTACCTGTCAGAAAAAAATAAATTCTAATGATGTCCGTAACTGGAACTGTTAATGCCTGATAACACAGAGTTAAGAAGAGTCTCCTAAGGGCATTAGAAACAACCTAAGTTCTTTTCTCCTGATCTTTTCACGTACACAGGAAATATAGACCGGAAATCTGATTTGAAGCAAAGAAAGAGTAGATAAAAATGCTTATCTTGTCAAAAGTGAATTCTTAACATTGAGACATGTATTAGATAACATAAATACTGTTTTTAAGGATTTGAAAAATATGCTTCAAGTGTGAACATTTAAAAACCAAGGTGACCGTCAAAGATTTGAGTAGAAATCATCGTGACTCCTGTGAATAAGAAGCTTCTCTGTGGTACCACAAGGCTATTTTTGGCAAAAAATCAAGATAGGGAAATAAATAGGTGAATTAGTTCATAGAAATGCTACATATTATTTTCAATGAGGGTTAACCAAGTCCACTGGAGGAACATCAATACCAGTGCAAGGAAGGCACACAGTACAAGGAGATAGCATCAGCAGAGGGGCCTGGGTTCAGAAGAAGGAAGAGGGAAATTGAGGGCATATGAATGGCTAGTGTCAATACAGTAAAAAACATTGTTATATACATCCACTGTCTTATTTCATACTCCAGATTATTATCACGCATACTTTATATTCAGTTCTTATACAGCCAGTATAAGAACTCAACTCAAATAACTTTTTTTTATTATTATTATACTTTACGTTTTAGGGTACATGTGCACAATGTGCAGGTTAGTTACGTATGTATACATGTGCCATGCTGGTGTGCTGCACCCATTAACTCATCATTTAGCATTAGGTATATCTCCTAATGCTATCCTTCACCCCTCCCCCCACCCCACAACGCTCCCCAGAGTGTGATGTTCCCCTTCCTGTGTTCATGTGTTCTTATTGTTCAATTCCCATCTATGAGTGAGAACATGCGGTGTTTGGTTTTTGTCCTTGTGACAGTTTACTGAGAATGATGATTTCCAATTTCACCCATGTCCCTACAAAGGACATGAACTCATCATTTTTTATGGCTGCATAGTATTCCATGGTGTATATGTGCCACATTTTCTTGATCCAGTCTATCATTGTTGGACATTTGGGTTGTTTCCAAGTCTTTGCTATTGTGAATAGTGCCGCAGTAAACATACGTGTGCATGTGTCTTTATAGCAGCATGATTTATAGTCCTTTGCGTATATACCCAGTAATGGGATGGCTGGGTCAAATGGTATTTCTAGTTCTAGATCCCTGAGAAATTGCCACACTGACTTCCACAATGGTTGAACCAATTTACAGTCCCACCAACAGTGTAAAAGTGTTCCTATTTCTCTACATCCTCTCCAGCACCTGTTGTTTCCTGACTTTTTGATGATCGCCATTCTAACTGGTGTGAGATGGTATCTCATTGTGGTTTTGATTTGCATTTCTCTGATGGCCAGTGATGATGAGCATTTTTTCATGTGTCTTTTGGCTGCATAAATGTCTTCTTTTGAGAAGCGTCTGTTCATATCCTTTGCCCACTTTTTGATGGGGTTGTTTGTTTTTTTCTTGTAAATTTGTTTGAGTTCATTGTAGATTCTGGATATTAGCCCTATATGGAACCAAAAAAGAGCCCGCATTGCCAAGTCAATCCTAAGCCAGAAGAACAAAGCTGGAGGCATCACGCTACCTGACTTCAAACTATACTACAAGGCTACAGTAACCAAAACAGCATGGTACTGGTACCAAAACAGAGATATAGATCAATGGAACAGAACAGAGCCCTCAGAAATAACGCCGCATATCTACAACTATCTGATCTTTGACAAACCTGAGAAAAACAAGCCATGGGGAAAGGATTCCCTATTTAATAAATGGTGCTGGGAAAACTGGCTAGCCATATGTAGAAAGCTGAAACTGGATCCCTTCCTTACACCTTATACAAAAATTAATTCAAGATGGATTAAGGACTTAAACGTTAGACCTAAAACCATAAAAACCCTAGAAGAAAACCTAGGCATTACCATTCAGGACACAGGCATGGGCAAGGACTGCATATCTGAAACACCAAAAACAATGGCAACAAAAGCCAAAATTGACAAATGGGATCTAATTAAACTAAAGAGCTTCTGCACAGCAAAAGAAACTACCATCAGAGTGAACAGGCAACCTACAGAATGGGAGAAATTTTTTGCAACCTACTTATCAAATAACTTATAATAAACATTTGGTTCCTTGCTCATGTGCTGCAACCTCCCAGGACTATATTCACTGCCTTCTCCACAGATGGAAGAATTGGGTTTGAAGAGTAATGCAGGTCCATCTGTTTTTTAGATATCCTGTCATCCTCAAGATATTTCTGTATGGCTTTATCCCTTTGGGAGTCCCCTTAAAACCATGTACTTAATAGTGTTGGGAGGGACGGTAACTACCTTCAATTATAGATATATTTCCCTCTAGGGAGATCATATATAATTTCATTATTTCATTCAAACTTCAGATCAACACAGAGAGAGGAGCCTTATAATATCACTTTGGAAGGTTTAGATAAATTATACTTTACCTAACATCATACAGTTTGTTAGTGGTAGCATTGTTATTTGAATCAACCTCTGACTACAAATCCATGTTCTTTGCATTCTGTTTCCCTATATTAAGATGATCTGTTTTATTTTGTTTGCTTTTTAGTGGAAGAAAGGAACTCTTACGGAAAATGGAGGCTGGAACACACATATCCCTAATGTCATTTTCTTTCTCTTTCTGAGTTTAGCAACCAAAACAAGCACATTGATGGAGACTTAAAGAACGGTCTGAGACTGTTTCTTCCAAAAAAGAAAAAATGTTAGGGATTCTCTGATGAAAAACAAAGACGAGTAGAGCAGAGCGAAATGTAGCCTTTCTAAGGTCTTTGGCAAAGACCAGATCTCTAAGGGAATTAGCAGACCTGTTCGTATATATGTAATCTACAATATTTAAAAGAGATTTTAAGAGTGATTATATCTTTAAAGAAAGTATGACACAATTCACTTGAATTCAAGTTTCTTTGTATATATCTTTGAGGACATATAAATAGAGAAGAAAATATTTCCAAGTTTTGCTAACATACATATTTTAAAAGGAAATATATCAATCTATCTTTCAGTTTTGGAGAAACTTACTTGGTTCTGCAAGAAACAAATGTAAAAAGTTTCATATAAAGTGCATAAAGACATCAGCTTGACATGCCTCAAAACTATTCCCACAAAAATTTCCCCATCATTCAGCTTCTGTGCAAAGTGCCTCCTGCAATTTTCATATTTTGAAAATTTCCTCATATTTCATATATACATTTGCAAACCCCACTCTCAAGGAAACAGTGTTGAAATTTTTCTGAAAATGCTTTCCTAGGAAGCTTTCAAAGATGAAAACAAAAATGATTGTTTTGATGTTACAGCTGGGAGTCAGCAGTGTATCAATTTATGACTTTAGGTCATTCAAGAGCCCCCTAAGTAGCATAGAGACAAACTAGTAGACACCATTATGCCCACTGAGAGAGGCTGTGTGGCCTGGGGTAAAACCAGCTCTGGAAACTCTAAGTTATAAGGGAACAATGAGCAGGCACATGTATAATGTCAGAAATACAGATGCATAGAAACGTAACGTTAGAAAGGCTCTTCATCATATTCCGAGTGAAAATCTCTTATATTTTTAGAAGTGGAAATACAAACTCAGAGATTAAGTTTATTTGCCTTTGAGCCACACAGTTAGTGGTCCCATGTTACTTCACTCCTTTTCTTGGTTTAAGGACTATCCAGCAACTTAGAGAATCAAAGAGCAAGGGTAGTTTCCTTTCACTAGTTGAGAAACAGCAACATGTCATCGTAGAAAAACAATTTCTATCATTGAATTAAATTATTTTCATGTCCGTATTTAAATTTTCTTTTAGACAGAACTATGAACTAAGAAGGAAAGAAATGACTAATAACGTGTTTCAATGACTAATGCTAATATAAAATGAATGAAATTATATAGGAAAGTTTTATACGTGAGCAAAACAAAAGTCATAGTTGTGTTTTGCATCATTGACTTAAATAGGATTTCAGTATTAGAAACAGAATATCTCAATTCTTCAGAATTTGTCCTATGTTTTCATTTTTACCCATTGTTAAAAATACCCATTTGGAACCCTTCTTTCTTTCTTAAGTGTAGAGTTTTTATTAGTTTTCTTTTTACTTATTTATTTATGCAATTGGTGTTAATTTGTCAACAGTTTAGTTTTTATGTCTTATTTTTTCTTCCAAAGTTTATTTTAGGTTCAGGGAGTACATGTACAGCGTTAAGTAGGTAATCTTGACTTCACCAGGGTTTGGCGTACAAATTATTTTGTTATCTAGGTAGTGAGTATAGCACTCAGAGGTAGTTTTTCAATCCTCACCTTCCTCTCACCCTCCACCCTCAAGTAGGTCCTGGTGTCCCTTGTTGTCCTCTTTGTGTCCATGTATATTCAATGTTTAGCTCTCACTTATAAGTGAGAACATGTAGTATTTGGTTTTCTTTTCCTGTGTTAATTTGCTTAGGATAATGGCCTCCAGCTACATCCATGTTGCTGCAAAGGACATGATCTTGTTCCTTTTTACGCTTATGTAGTATTCCATGGTGTATGTGTACCACATTTTCTTTACCCAGTCCACCGTTGTTCCCGTGTTTTTGCTATTAATAGTGTTAAAATGAACATACACATACATATGTCTTTATGGTAGGACAATTTATATTCCTCTGGGTACATACCTAGTCATGGGATTGCTGGTTCAAGCGGTAGCTCTAAGCTTCTTTGAGAAATCTCCAAGCTGCTTTCTACAGTTGGCTGAACTAATTTACAATCCCACCAATAGTGTGGAAGTGTTCTCTTTTCTCCCCAGACTCACCCAGCATCTGTTTTTTTTTGTTTTGTTTTGATTTTTTTTTTTTTTTTTACTTTTAAATAGCTATTCTGACTGGTGTGAGATGGTATCTCATTACGGTTTTGATTTGAATTTCTCTAATGATTAATGACTTTAAACATTTTTTTCATATGCTGTTGGCCATGTGTGTGCCTTCTTTTGAGAAGTGTCTGCTCACGTCCTTTGCCCATTTTTTTATGAGGTTGTTTCTCGCTGAAGTTGCTTATAGATTTTAGGTATTAGACCTTCGTCAGATGCGTACTTTGCAAATACTTTCTCCCATTCTGTAGGGTGTCTGTTTATTCTGTGGATAGTTTCTATGGCTGTGTAGATGCTCTTTAGTTTAAACAGGTCTCATGCTCTAACCCTGGGAGCTAGGACCAGGCCCACAGCTTTGTCCTCCGGCCCCTCAGGTTAAACAGCTTCTGTGCTGGAGTGGCCAATGTGTTACTGGTCTACTGGCAAAATACTCCTATGGGGAGTGCTGGCTAAAGCGCTTTTGTTGGGGCAATGGCAGTGTGGTGGGGGCTGTTGTGCACATGTGCTGGCAAAGTGGTTGGGGGAGGCTGTGGGTTGGTGCTTGCCAGGAAAATGGTGGGGAAAGCTGTGGGCAGGTGTGCACTGGTAGGGCTCTGTCTGCCAAAGCTCTCTGATGGTCAGGCAGGGTCTGCCAGTGAAAAAGCCATGGCAGTTGCTGCTCAGAAGTACCCTGGTTGGGCATCTCAGGCTGTGCTACAAGTGTATGCTGCTAGGCAGGCACCCTGGTAGAGGCCAGCACTCAGACAGTGGGGCACTCACATTAGACTGGCCCGGTCTCACAGTCAAGAGAGCCCTGTTCTGTCCAGGTTCGCCAGTCAACAAAGGCCAAAGCCACCAAGAGAAGCATGGCAAGTCTTACGGGATGGATATCCCTGGCCATGCACCCCTGAAGCCATTCCCGTGCCAAAGCCTGTGGGCTCCACACAGGCTGGAAATCCTGTTTCTGCCAACTCTCCCAGCAGCACTCCCTGCTAGCTCAGATGTCCATCTGAGTTCCTGCAGGTCCATGGGGTTTCCTGCAGGTAGGATTCTGGAGGTCCGTGATGAGAGTGGGTCCCTCCATGCCTGTTTAACCCACACCTTTCCCAGGAGGCACTCAGGGCCAGAAAGGTGTCCTGGTGCTCGGCAACCCCGGCTGGGTTCCCAGCTTCCTCCCGCTTCAGCCTACGGTCTCTGTCCTCCCTCTGTCCACTCTCAATGTCTTTCTTCCAAAGATCTGCTCAGAGTGTGCCAGCCTTCTTGATGGTCTGGTCTCTGATTGGAAGAAGTTCTACCTAGCTACATCCAGTTGGGCATTTTGGCTCTTCCTACTACAGAAGCCAGGTCCCTAAACTTTCCTGCTTCACACCTGTATGGAGATTCTTCTGGGAAGGATCAAGCAGAGCCCACCACTGCTGGTTAAAGTTCATAGGCACATCCTCGAATGCAACAGAATCCAGCTTCCAGGACTTCCTTAGCTATGGATCTCCCAGTACCTACGGGTCATGGGGTGACAGAGGCTGCAGCAGAACCACTTGGTGCCTCCTGGAGTAGAGGACATGAAGCAGTGAAACAGGACCAGGGTCCTCCCTTCTTTTATTAAAAAGAAAGTACAATTCAATATAATTAAAAATCAATCCACTATTCTATGAATACTTATAGCAAGATCATTAGATTGATTTTTACTTATTTTTAAAACTTTCATTTATTATTTGAGACACAGCGTCACTCTGTCACCCAGGCTGGAATGCAGTGGCACTATCGTAGCTTACTGTAACCTCAAACTCTTGGGCTCAAGTGATCCTCCCACCTTAGCCTCTCTACTTGAGGACTGCAGGTACCTGTCACCATGCCAAGCTATGTTTTTTGTTTTATTTTTTTGTAGAGATGGGAATTTTGCTATATTGCCCAGGCTGGTCTCAAGGAATTCTCCCATTTTGGCCTCTCAAAGTACTGGGATTATAGGTGCGATCCACCATGGCCAGCCTCATTTTAAGTTTTGACAAAGCCTCAATAGAAATTGCAAAAATAACTAGTATAAAGTTGAGACAACCATTGGTTTATCAACTATATTTCATTTTTAGCTATTAATTATATTTGCTTATGTTAGGTACAAGCATTTGTTCATTTATCTACTTTATATTATTTTATAGAGAACATACAATATATTACTTTTTTAGACATTGGAAATGGAAGATTAATAATGGAACAATCTGCTCTAGTCTTAAAAGCAGACCATTCATGTGGAATTAGCAATAAGGCATGAATATTATACACTGTTTTAACCTGTAACAAAAAGCATTGTGAGAGTATGCAAGTGTCATCTAAATAGGACTTGATTTTGAGAAGCGCTTCCTGAAAGCTGACACTTGACCTTTAATGATTTCAAAGATGATGATTACTGGCCCATACGAATCCAAGTATTATAATACCATGGTGTATGTGGGAAGTCCAGATCAGTCAGTTTCTCATTCATACACTAAGAACCCCTTTTCCTTGTCTTTTCAAACTTGCAGGCACTGCGCAGTGGATTTCAGAACTCAGATCTTTCCATATTTGTTTTTCTTGCAACTGACATTGTTTTCAGTTACATACAATATTTCTAGGATTTACACAATAGGAAACTGGTGAGCCATAAGAAGTAAAATAGTCAAATTGGCTGGGCGTGGTGGCTCACACCTGTAATCCAAGCACTTTGGGAGGGCAAGGCGGGCAGATCACAAGGTCAGGAGATTGAGACCATCCTGGCTAATATGATGAAACCCCATCTCTACTAAAAATATGAAAACAAAATTAGCAGGGCGTGGTGGCGAGTGCCTGTAGTCCCAGCTACTCGGGAGGCTGAGGCAGGAGAATGGCGTGAACCGGGGAGGCAGAGCTTGCAGTGAGCCAAGATGGCACCACTGCACTCTAGCCTGGGCGACAGAGAAAGACTCCTCTCAAAAAAAAAAAAAATTGGCAAATTAATCCCACAGTGAAGAGAATTGGTGGTAATTATTTAAGGTATGCAGTGCAGCAAGAATTAATGCTTTAACAGGGCATTATAAACACTATGTCTCAGGCTGAAGTCCATCCAAACCAACACATTGCTATAGGCTTAAGGTATATTTACAATCTACAATTGTTTTGGTCCTATTTGCTTGCTGCCATTCTTTCCACAAATTCTCTTTTACTTACATACCAGCTTTAGAAGTCCCACGCTATCTGAATTATTAATATTCTACCCATTAACATTTATCTGATTAACTTTGCTCTCTATAAAGATAGTATGCCATCATAATGTTATTTTTAGAAAAAGCATTTTCAACTGCTAGATTTCTTAGCTCTGGCATTATTAACCTTCTATTATTTAGACATTTATTTTCTAGATATTCTTCTAGCACCTCAGGAGACTATTACAGTTGTAAGTAAAAGTGATGAAGGTCAAATCCTTATCAGGAAAATAAAAAAATATTTACAATATACAAATATAAAAGCTCAAGTATCAAAATCATTAAAGGCCCAAAAACAAAATTATGTGGATATGCAGGAATGGAAACAGGCTTTTGAATCTTTGGCCTGTACATTTACAAACTATATTTCACGATATTTTCTCACTGTATAAGCAAATAAACTATAATCTAAAATGCAAAATGTAGAGAGCCAGTTGAACAAACTTGAGACCAAACACGCACAATGATTTTTCTTTTCTTCTGGATTCCTACACATTAAAAATGTTGCTTCCCTTATTATCAATTGTAATTATTGTTTTCTATTTATTAGGCACGAATCTCACTGGACATATAGTAAGAACTCTACCATTGGTGTGTATTTCCCCAAAAGAAAAACCTTTCAAGGGCAGCAACCTCATATGAGGAGCCTCTGTTTGTACTCCTAAAGGTGTCTCATGAGACAACTTTGGAGAAAGCTAACAGAACAATTTAGAAAGTGAGTGGTTGGAGTTAGAGTTTTGTTAGGGCATTGTTTCTTAAACATTAGCCCATATCGGTACAACCTGCAAGGTTTTTGTAGTAGATTTTTGTGTAGATTGTTGAGCTTCACCCCAGAGTTTTTGATTCACTGCATCTGGGATAGGACCCAAGACTTTGCAGTTCTAACAAGGTCTTAGATAGTGCAGTGGTTTAGGGACTGACCTGTCAAAACCATGGCACTGCAGGATGGGAAGTTCTCAAGCTCCCTCATTTTTCTGATAAGTTTTACCCCATCCTCATAATTGTCCTCATCTGCAGCCAGGCCACTAGGTACCTATCTTATTCCTGTGTGATCCACCTTTCAGGACAAGAACATACCTTTCTTCAGGACCTTATGTAGGCTTTGCAACAGAAGAGAATTTGCCACTGGATTCGCAAAGTTGTATATTTATGTTGCTTACGCACTTTCTTTTCCTAAGGAGAAAAATGACGTTCTGAAAAGATGGACTTTATTGCTTAATAATAAGTGAGCTAGTTAAAACTAAAGTAGCTAATTTCTAGAATGTGAAATTAAAAGACAAAGTAGCACTTGAGCCTGAAACAGCTGCAAAGGCAGTTGCAGAAGTCAGCACTCAATCAATGGAAAGCCAAAGCAGCTGACACAGCTTTTTTCTAACATTTAAGTGCTTTCTTCTTTCATGTAACTCATATTCATTCAACTGCATTATGATCCGCTCAAAAATGCCAACATTGTCATTTCCGTATCCATCTGTAAACTAGTTCTTCCGAAGAGATAAAATTAAATTTTCAACCTCTAATGGCATAAACCAGCACCACCTGATATCTTGCTGTATAGAAACATACTCTCGTTCTCTTCTTCCCGAACTGAAGGGCATGGAGACAGATTCTAAAGAGGCTGGAGAGGTTGCCTGAATTAATATGTTTTCCCACTGCTATAAAGAACTGCCCGAGACTGGGTAACTTATAAAGGAAAGAGGTGTAATTGACTCACAGTTCCACATGGCTGGGGAGCCCTCAGGAAACTTATTACCGTGGCAGAAGGAGAAGAGGAATCAAGACATCTTCTGCACAAGGAGGCAGGAAGAAGAATGAACGCAGGAGGAATTACCACACACTTATAAAACCATCAGATCTCGTGAGAACTCACTCACTATCACGAGAAAAGCATGGGTGAAGCGGCCCCCATGATTCAATTGCCTCCACCTGGTCTCTCCCTTGGCAGGCGGGGATTATGGCAATTATGGGGATTACAATTCAAGTTGGGATTCTGGGTGGGGACACAGCCAAACCATATCATCGCCTATCTCTACTCTTCACACCCACTCTGACTCTTCAACTGGGTTTATGATTTATGCTCTTACTGTGCAGATTCTGTGTTTATGGGCCCTGACACAGCTTGGTGACTCAGGTGGTTATGTAATTAATGTGTCTATTAATTTTCTGCTGCTGCCATAACAAATTAACACAAAGTAGTGGCTGGAACAAATTTACTACCTTAATGTTTTGTAGGAGTACCAAATACAGTACAAGTCCCCTTAGGCTAAAATCAACAGTATTGTTAGGGTGAGTTCTGACTTGGAGGCTTCGTTAGTCCATTCTTGCATTGCTATAAAGAAATATCTGAGGCTGAGTAAGTTATAAAGAAAAGAGATTTATTTGGCTTATGGTTCTGCAGACTGTACAGGAAGTGTGTTTGTTGTGAAGACCTCAGGAACTTTGCAGTCATCATGGAAAGCAACAGAGATCTAACATGTCACACAGTGAGACAGGAAGCAAGAGAGAGAGAAGGGGGAGATTCCCATATTCTTTTAAACAACCAGATCTCACATGAACTAACTGAGCAAGAAGTCACCTATCACCAAGGGGATGGCACTAAACCATTCATGAGGGATCCACCCCCATGACCAATCACCTTCAACTTCCAGCATTGGTGTGATGGTTAATATTGAGGGTCAACTTGATTAGATTGAAGGATACAATGTATCGTTCCTGGGTATGTCTCTGAGGGTTTTGACAAAGGAGATTAACATTTGAATCACTGGACTGGGAAAGGCAGATCCACACTCAGTCTGGGTGGGCACCACCTAATCAGCTGCCAGTGTGGCTAGAACAAAAGCAAGCAGAAGAATATGGAAATAATAGACTGGCTGAGTCTTCTGGCCTCCATCTTTCTCCCATACTGGATGCTTCCTGCCCTGGAACATTGGACTCTTCGGTTTTTCAGCTTTGGGACTCTTGGACGTTCGACCACAGACTGAAGGCTGCACTGTCATCTTCTCTCCTTTTGAGATTTTCGGACTCAGATTGGCTTCCTTGTTCTTCAGCTTGTGGATGAGCTATAGTGAGATCTCACCTTGTGATCATGTGAATGAATACTCCTTGATAAATTCCCCTTTATATATACATCTATCCTATTAGTTCTGTCCCTCTAGAGAACTCTGACTAATACTATTGGGAATCACATTTCAACATGATATTTGGCGGGGACCAACCTCCGACCCATATCAGAGGCTGTGAGGGAAGATTCATGTTCTTCCTCATTTGAGTCATTGGCAGACTTCAGTTCCATGTGGCTGTAAGACTGAGGGCCCCATTTTCTTGCTGATTAGAGGACTGTTCCCAGCCTCTCGGGGCCACCCACATTCTATGACTCTTGTTCTTGTTCTCCATCTTCGGGGCTGGCCATGATAGGTCGAATCCCTCTCATGTCTGAAAGCTTTCCTCCTTCCCTTTCTGCCACTTCTTTCTGACCCACCCAGGAAAGAGTCTCTGCTTTTAAGAACTCATGTGACTAGATTGGGTCTACCCAGTTAATCCAGGATAATTTCATACATCGAGGTCCTTACTCTTAATCACATCTGCAAAGTCCTTTTGCCAAGTAAGGTAATATACTCACAGGTTCTGGGCATTAGAGCACAGGCATCCTTGGGGGACTTTGCCTACCACAATCTCCAAGCGAGGTCACTTTTGAGAAAAGGAAGCACTACTAATAAGCATGTCATGACAACAGAAATGAACCAGGACACACGGTCACCTGATTATGACACTGAGAGTGTCATAAATAGTTCCACATGGACTCACAGTTCCACATGGCTGGGGAGCCCTCAGGAAACTTACAACCATCGGAGAAAACGAAGAGGAGAAAGATCTAACATAAAGGCTGTGAGGAGGTTTAGAAGGAAGGGATTGTGTGCTAGAATAAATGAGTTGTGCTATGTTACTAGGGTTTTATCTAATAAGTGCTGTTAAATAGTTTAATAGTAACTTCTATGTGTGGGGGAGTGGGGAATCGGGTGCTAAAGAGATGATTAAGAACACAAATGTGCCTTTAAGAAGCTTCCAGCTAATTTTCAACAGATGTGTTAATGAATGTCCACCTTGACTTGTAAATGTGCTTAGGGTTCATATGAGGCAGTGGAGATGGACAAGCGTTTGATTTTAGGGGATGGGCATTGATTGCAGAGGAAGAATAGATTTTCCTTGACTGTGAATTCACATGGAGTCCAGGATGACCAGAATCTCTTCTCTAACCAAGGCTGGCAAGCCAGGACCACTGGGCATTACTGAAAACAACATAAAATGAGCATCCTATTTAGAACATCCCCTTAATTAAAAAGAAGTCTACTGGGGACTCTTTAATTAACCACAGAGTACCACATTAACCTTTTCCTATGTTGGTATAAAGTTGACGCTCTATTCCCACGGGTGAAATTTCTTCAAATGCATTCCACTATCCTTAGGCATATACACATTTAAAAAGAAATAAAATATGGAGATGTTATAGTTACTATTCCCAATAAAAGGTAATAATAAGACTCAAATTATGTATGTATTCATACATGATTGTATAATGATTTAAAATGAAGCAATTACTTTGAGGCATTCATTGGACCTAGTTAGAAATGCTTGCATATTTTATAAGAGTTAATGTTTTATGTTTATTTATATTTGAATCATTATACTGTAAGATGAGACTTTTTGGCTTGGTAAGCTTAATGTTATTAACTTATCATAGTCTAATTTATACAAGAATTGCTGTGATTCTGAGTTACGTATTGCTACTTAATATTCTTGTCATCATATGGTATTTTATACATAATTTGAAATAATAGTTTTTCATAAGCTCTTACAATATTGATACTAAATTTTGATGTTTCTAGCTAAATGTATTTAGAAATTTTCATTGTTAAGTGGTATATATAAAATAGTTGAATAAGTGTAATGTACCTTCATACTCGTCATTGAGCAGAAAACTGAACGTTATATAAAAGTGCTTTAAGTGTAAGATATTTATAATTTAATAAATTAAAACAATTCTGACTTTATTTTGAATAACTATTTTACATACCACATTATTTCTGTTAGAGATTTAGGTTTTCATTTCCTTAATTGTGACTGACATGATTTACGTGAAAATCAGTAATGTTAAACTTTAAACAGAAATATGAAATAAACTAATTTTATTGGAAGAAAAATATAGTGGATAACAAAGAAAAGTTGTTCCTTTAAGGATGTAGAAATAAAGGCAATAAATATAACTGTATAGATCAACACTGAAAATGATGTGACTGACATTCAGGAATATGCTTTCAGAATACATAGTCCTGTAATCAAAAGACGAACACTAAGTCAAAACAACTTTTACTCTACAGAGGTTAGAAAATATGCACAGAGTTATATTACCGTTTTCTGTTATGGGCACACAAATCAATATTTATGTGGTTTTTTAGGTTTTAAAAGTTTCAATAAACACATTTAACCCAAAATACATGTTAACCAAGGAATGTGTTTTTATATAATAAATACAGTTATGAAGGAATTAACATTTCTTTTTATCTGGTGTTAAGCACCACAAATAGTAGACTGTCTTTGGAGCACATTTGGAAGTAGCAGGTAACAGGGTCTGGAAATGGAATATGTTGTGTGAAAGCAGGTGAGGGAGCAAGGACACTGGTGACAGCATCGACTGAGGGGTAAATGACATTGGTTGATAAACTTAATATAGGGTCTCCCAAGAGTTCACAAAGCCAGGATCAAATTAACAACAAAAAAGTATTTTAATTTAAAAAATCTAAAATAATTAAAAATAATTTGAAATTAAAAAATGGGAAAAAACCGTTTTTTAGAGTGGTGGAGCAGTATGATGTCAACTGAAAAATAGACTCAAAATGGCTCTATTGTTTAGAGGTTTATACATTTAAAAATTCAACACACAAAAAGAGCAGACAATACAACTTAGGCAGTATATTCAACACAGCAGGTGAAAATATGGGCAAGACTTGATCTTTGTGCTTCCAATAAGTTTCTGAGAAAGGGAGACATGAACTTGATTCTATTACAACCTGCCAAGTGCTGTAAGACACATGAACACCAAATGGCACAGCATGATGGTACGGTATGTGCAATAACTAAGCATGCATCAAAGCATGGCCTCATAGAGATGGTAACTGAATGTTCAAACTGTAATTTAAGGAGTTTATCAAGTGTATAATAAGAACAAAAATACTATAGGCAGAGAGAAAACCCCAAGTATAAGCCCAGAAGCTCATAGGTGCATGCAGCAGCCTGGCAGATGATGGCGATGGACACTCAGATGGACAGCTGGAGCCAGTTGTAAAGGGCTTGAAAAGTCATAGTTTGTCCTTTGAACTTCATTCGTTGTAATGCAGAAACATCAAGGATGTTACTGTGGGGAATTTGGGCATCAGATTGATCAGGATGGATTTGACCATCAGCGGGTTTAGGACTGATTAGATGCAAAGAGGTTTGCAGAGAGGGTGGCCTGTGGTAATGGCTCTGCAACGGTCTAAATGAGAGGGCAGGAGGGATAGATGGAGAGGAGGCTTAGCTGATACAGTAAAAAGAGAAAGGCTGAAGAAAAAGGGTGGAGATGGAATTGGGATATTTCACATCGCTCACTAAAATAGGCCTTAGGAGAATAACAGCAAGTTTGCAGGCAAGTTGGAAAAGAGATCAGAAGCCCTCAGCTTGATGTTGTTCTAGTTGAATTTGAATTGCCTATGGGCATTCCCATTAAATGTATTCAGTAGGCACCTGAATATCTAAATCTTGTGCTCAGAAGAGTGGTCAGAATAGAGATACAGATTTATGTATGCAGCAACTGAACCTACGAGAATGGGAAGCGATTACCCAGGGAGAGCACATGCATCAAGAGATGACCTCAACTATTTTAGGGGTGAGTAGGTAAAGCGCTCAGAAAGAAGCTCAAAATAAGTTACTGGAAAAGGAAGAGGAGAGTCAGGAGAGGGTCATGCGAGATGCAGCCTCGCAAACCACATGGCACTTTTAGCACTGCTGTGCAGTCGCAAACAACATCAACAGATTAATACAGTCTGTATTTACACAGCAGATCCCCAGGAATTCGCAGTCCTTTTTTTCTTTTAAAAATGGAATTCTTGATTTAAAAAATTATGGCATAAAATGTGGGTCTCTCATCTATTGTGATGTTTCTACTCTAGTATTTCAGGTTGCACTTCAGCAATTTTATAAAGTTGTCCCAAAATACTATTGCTGAAAATTGAAGTCACAAGCCTACATATCTATTGGGTTATTTATTTTTATTTTTATTTTATTTTATTTTATTTTTTTTGAGACGGAGTCTCGCTCTGTCACCCAGGCTGGCGTGCAGTGGCGCGATCTCGACTCACTGCAAGCTCCGCCTCCCGGGCTCACGCCATTCTCCTGCCTCAGTCTCTCAGAGTAGGTGGGACTATAGGAGCCCGCCACCACACTCTGCTTATTTTTTTGTATTTTTAGTAGGACGCGGTTTCACCATGTTAGCCAGGATGGTCTCGATCGCCTGACCTCGTGATCTGCCCGTCTCGGCCCCCCAAACTGCTGGGTTTACAGGCGTGAGCCACCGCGCCCGGCCTCTATTGGGTTATTTAGATGACAGAGGTAATGAGATGGGTCAGATACTCCGCAACTCTTTTGTTTCTAAGCACACATTTTCCCTGGTCCTTGCCAGCACCAGAGGAAATGGTTTAAAAGAGACATTCATAAAAGCTGGGGTGTCAACGCTCTACTGTTTATTTTTACCTATGTTACATTATTTACATTATTTATAAGCAAACACTATGCTGTTATATTTATTAAATACCCTCTTTTATTTTCCTGTTCAATTTATACCTAAGGCATCTCACATTCATCCCAAAAGTTTGTTACCTTGCAACATTGTCACCTAAAAACACTATCTTTCAAAAAGTGACAATTTTATGCAGTTATATTTTTTGCTAACCTTTTAATTGCACCTTATTGTTCTCTTTTTTCTAATAGCATCTCCAAATATTTCTTTTTGCCCTGAATATTGCTTTTTTAAAAAGCCTTAGATTTCTATAATTTCAGTAGGTAATTTACATTTATTTTATAAGCACAAAGAGAATAGTAATAAAAAGAGAACAAAAGGCAAGCATGTTATCAAACACTCTGCCGGCATCATCTTTAACAGACTTGGTAAAGAGTTCCCAACCATTTGCAGAGCTCTGCATAAGCAGACCTGGAAAAATTAACAGATCTGATCAGTATTCACCCACTAAAGAATGGCAGACTTGTATGGAAGAAGACATGGTGAGACCATATGTTTACCTTGAGGTTTTGTCCTGAAGATTTGTCAAAGACCGTCTTTGGAGAAGTTGGGGAAACATTTGACTCTCCTGCCAATATGCATGAAAAGATTTAATAATGGTGTCTCTGTGACTTCCTTTTGGTCTCATAATACTAACAGCAATCAAAGCCTAAATAGAGGAATAAAGATAAAAGCAACTTAGAATATTTAGCATACAAACCCAAGCAGACGGCCAAAGTTTTGGAAGGAAGTGAGCAGTAAGGGTGATGGTAAGCAATGAGAATGTGACCTGTGTATACATTTCTGTCAACCTGAAGTCTGGATTTCTGAGTATTCTTGACAAGGTTGCCTGGAGAGGATTCACGGAGGAAGAGTTTATAGAGCTGGTAGAATAAGATATTGGTGATAAAATGTAGAGTCACATGTTATATTCCCTGAGAAATGGACTATAAGGGATCATGTGTGGAAATTTTCTTAGGAGCTGCCCTTGGAAGGGAAAGGAAAGAAGCAGGATTGGATAGAGGGAATAGTTGGGCTGTGACGCTGTTTTGGTTTTCATTGTTATGCTTTCTTTCTAATTTGATCTTGACGTCTTCTCTTGAGACTATCCATAAGCTTTCCCCTTGCCTGATTGGAAATTCAAGGAATTTGGCCATGGATGTTTATAATGTGCATTCACAGAGTGCTTCTTTATCCTAGAAGATAGCCTGAGTCCTAAATGTTGACCCGTGACCTTGTGTTCCTCTCACAGGAATCTTGTTTGTACCAGCAGATGCCCTTGCGGCTCTTATCTGATCTATGTCCACTTTATTCCTGTCATTATAACCACTCTCTAAGAGAGCTGTGAATAGAAATAAGGTGAGAAGCAGGTGTGTGTGTGTGTGTGTGTGTGTGTGTGTCAGGTGAGACACAACAAGGAAGGGAAACCAAAATGCATGAAGTAGAAGAAATTTGTTACTCAATGGTCTCAGAGAGGTCAGGAACTAAGGGATGCCAAAGGGAGGCCAATGGAAAGCCCAGAGTTGGTGGAGAGTACAACCAGTGAGTAAGGGGAGGAGAGGGAGGAGGAAGGGAAGGGCAGCAGGGAGAGAGAGAGAGAGAGAGAGAGAGAGAGAGAATGAGAACAAGCCCATGAGACTATGCCTTTATTAAGGTCCATGAACATTGTTCCTTAGGGTTTTCCTGAAGGTTGTCTATTGGTTAGTGTCAAGAAGACTCAGGCAGTGGGTGAGAACTCATTTCCATGGCTCTGGCTAACGACCGTTAGATTTTACTGTGGTCAGCAGCTGTGGGGTGTGTTGGGCTGTGGATCAGTAAGATGAGGAACAAGCAGGATATAATGCAAACAACCACCACACAAGGAGGAAAAGTTTTAACTAGGCCAAAGGTGATGGGATACAACTGGGTTTTAAACAACTTATGTGATGCCTAAAGATGGACACTGAGGAAGCAACTTCATTAAAAAATGATAAAAGATGCAGTTTCAATAAAGGTTTCAGCCAAACCCATGGGGAGCTCTAAAGTTGGGTGGCCCCTACATCAACAAGTTATTAAATATAGGCTTCCCAGGAAGGGTTGTGACTCTCTTTAGCTGAGACATTTTCTGAAGGGGATGGTAGGTCAGGCCTTCTACCAACAACATTGTCAGTGACTGACGGAATAAGTCTTCCAGTCATGAAGGGGAATCTGTATTACATCAGTGTATACCAGAGTCCACTGCTAGCTTTTATCACTCAGATCCACTTCTTCATATAAGTTCTCAGAGCAGCTCCTCTAAGAATTTGGAGATCTTCTTTTTGTGAGAAAGTTAGAAGAGAAGGCTAGCAGGACAAAATGCTGCTACAATGCTTCAGATGGTCTTAGAGAAGCAGCTGATACTCACCATCACATTCCTCTACCCACCATTCTCAATTCCCTTCACCCTTGCCCACCACCTCTCCGTATTTCAGTGGCTTACCTGGTAGCATGACCTATGCCCTCATCCCTGAGAAGTCTGAGCCTCTGGTACTAAGCCCTTCTTAGGCAATAGTTTCTGCGCTTGTCCATTTTTTGTTAAAACCATGCAAGGTCATATGAATAGGCAGTCATGGGAAGCATCTGGATGTGAAATATGTTCCTCCCCATCCCTATTTCTAACAGCATCTGATATAGTTTGGCTCTGTTCCCACTCAAGTTTCATCTTGAATTGTAGTTCCCATAATCCCCTTGTGTCATGGGAGGGACCCGGTGCAAAGTAATTGAATCATGGGTGCCGTTACCCTTACGCTGTTCTCATGGTAAGGAGTGAGTTCTCACAAGATCTGTTAGTTTTATAAAGGGCTTCCCTCACTTTGCTTGGCACTTCTCCTTGCTGCCACTATGTGAAGAAGGGCATGTTTTCTTCCCCTTTTGTCATGATTGTAAGTTTTCGGAGGCCTCCCCAGCCATGCTGAATGGTGAGTCAATTACATCTCCTTCCTTTATAAATTACCCAGTCTTGGGTATGTCTTTATCAGCAGCATGAGAACGGACTGATATAGCATCCCTAAGCCTTTCGATGATCAGTTTAAATAGGCCTACCAGAATGGTGACTCCTTGTCTTGCCAGCTAGTTTCTTGGAATGAGAAGGCTAAAGTTGTGGCTTATGCCTGTAATCCGAACACTTTGGGAGGCCAAGGTGGGAGGATCACTTGAGGCCAGGCATTTGAGACCAGCCTAGGCAACATAGAAAGACCCTGTCTCTACACACAATTAAAAAAGCAAAAATAAAATAGTTAGCTAGGCATGATGGCATGTGACATGACTGCATGTAGTTCTAACTACTTAGGTGGCTGAGTCAGGAAGATCACTTGAGCCTAGGAGTTTGAGGCTACAGTGAGCCATGATCATGCCACTGCACTCCAGCCTGGGGGACTGAGTAAGATGCTCTCTCAAACAAGCAAATAATAATAATAATAAAAATAAAAGTGTCATGAACTATAAGCAATCACAGATTATTGTTCATTGAATCCCTTGCTGTGTCCCCTGCAGACATATTCTTCCTTTGGGAATGAGAGCCCTAATACTACAGAATTCAGATTTGTGGGGAGGAGAAGCACAGATTTCTCAAGTGCACTGCCAAGAGTGATAGTAAGCAAAGTCAACCTGCTTCCTCCTCTTGGTTTATTGACCCATGTATTCTACGTAAGGGGGACAGCACCAACTAAGGCTGTTGATTTAAAGCATATATTGCATTCTGGAGAATGGTGGTAATCAATGGCTGCTGCAAAGAAAGAGGATGGAGTACAACAAAAGTTTAGAACAAAGAAATGAGAATGGACCTATGGAAGTGCAAAATCTTCATATCTCATGTTGACAACCACCTCAAAGCATTCATTATGGAACAGGCACTAAACAACAACTAGGCAAGTAGACAAAATTCCTTGACCAGTTTGCAGCAGCCACCCTATTTCACTGTACTTATAGTTACTATATTCCTCATTATCTCAAACGCTTGATATATCTTGTCTGCTAGTGCATTTTCTTCCACTGGAATTCAATCCTATCTCATTCCCTGTGAAAGGTTTGATAATTACCCTGTACTCATGGCAGGGACTATCTGTGTTCCATTTGACATTGGTGAGGGGGTTTAGTCTGGCATTGCCATCTGGGCGGGGTGATCCAACTCTCAAATTCTATCTACTGTCTTCTTCTTCAGACCAATTCTGATACCAGCTCTCACAAGTTGAGGTCATTGGGAAGCAAATTATGACTTGAAGATCAGTTTCCTAAAGTTTACTAGGGAGTCCTCCCTCTGTCAACACTCATGGAAGCGAAGGAGAGGAAGTCATATTAGGAAGTTGGTTTCAATGCAGAAAACCCCATGTGAAGCTCTGAAACTGGGGTGAACTCTGAACTAACTGGTTATGAATTGGAGGCTGCCCCAAGAAGGGTGGTACCATGGACACTCTGTGGCTGAAGGCTGTCTGTTGGTACTCCGAGTACCTGGGAACTAAGTCTTTTATTTCTGAAAGGGGATTTGGGCAGCACATGACAGCATCCATTATAGGCAGTTACTAACTCTTTCAAATTGTTCACATTTACACTTTCTACTAGTGTCTACGTAATACAAATAAGGGAACACTACTCTGTCTAGAGGTCTCTTCCAAGACTTCAAATACCAGTTCTCTCCAAGCAGCATCTACGTTTCTTTCCCCCTTTTATACCCCTTATCACAATGTGCTACACTTGCTGAATTTCCAGACTGCAAATCTCCTAAGACAGAAATCTTTTTTAGTTCGGTATTTGCTTTCTTTAAAGCAAATCTTTATATAAAAAAGATTCTAGCACTGTGTTTTGGTATAGAATTGTGCTCAGTAAAATATTTATGATTAATTTAATATACTGCAGGTTTATGTATACATGTGTATATAATATTTCAGCTCTTCCAAAGTCAGACAAAGCTCAATCTAACTGTAGGTTAAACAAATAAAAAGCTATTGGAAAAAGTAATTTAGACACTGCTCAGGCGCATTTAGTCAAACCTAAGAGTTATATAACTTGAGACATGAAAAAAAACATCCAGATGCAGCTGCTGTTAGTTCTGCATGAGATTTTATCACTAGTGATTCATTTCTTTAGATTCCAATTTACTTTTCCCAAGAGAAATCTGTTAAATGCAAATGCCATTGGAAAACTAAGGTATTATTAGCCAGTAATACATTTGGTAAGATGATTTCATCACATTGCTTTCTAAATGGCAGCTAGCTAAGAAGTAGGGGTATATACCATAGAAAAGTTAAGATGTGAGTGAAGGGGAATATCTGAGAATAGGGTACTTTAGAGGTGTGTGTGCATGAGATGTGACTCAGCTACAGAAGAAAAGTATGATATGATCTAATCTGGGGCAGGAAAAATTAAAAAGTATGAAAAGTACGCTAAAAAGAGGAGGGATTGGATTCTAAAACTGAACTCCAGCTACATTAGAATTTTGCCCTGGGCCCTTATCATTATTTCTGAATTTTCGATCCTCTTCCAATATATTCATAAAATATCCTCTTTTTCCCATACAAGGCTATGATGTAGCCTGTCAATGCTGGTCAGGAATGAAATATCACTGCAAGAAAACTGGCATAAAAATCAGAGAACCCAAGATGGTAAAGGTAGTGTTAATAATTCTTTTTCAATCACCTCTGAAAAACACACTTCAGAATACCATCCAACACATTGGACTCAAGTTCATGGCAACTTAGCTGGTGACAGCCTCAGAAATAAACAAACAAAACAAATCCAAGTTCCCACAGTTCACAGCAAGTTATCTATGTTCTTATTTCTTCAAGACATCTTCCAAAATGAAAGATGTTTTTTTCCACCATAAAACATATTTTATTGTCTACATGCTCTATGAGTAAAAGAGCATGAGTACACAGTCAAAAATCCTGCAATTTCATTAAAAAACTTAATGTAATAATAGGTATGCATTGCTTGCCACTAATTCCCAGGGTTAGTAAATATCTGGAAATAGTAGATATATGTTGTGAATAGTATTAAAAAGTAACATCCTTTTTTTACTCCAATATTATTCTGCTAGGCCAGCCATTTAAAAATAAAAAGTTTTTGGTCATGCCCCCCCAGATTATATTTATTTCTTCACTAATAGCTGACACTTTCTTTTGGCCTTTTTCCCTATAAATCGCTAGTAAAATCAGTAATAATATATTGAAATTTGGATGCAAAATATATAGACAATGTACAATGCAAAATGTAAATTGGGACATGAAAAACGATTGAGTGGTCTCATTTTTAAATGTCAAGAAAATTGAAATTCTTTTTTTATAACAAGATAGTTCACAGATACTTCTTTCTCCAAAAACTGAAAGTAGAGAGAACTTTTGAAAAGCAAGGGTGATTCACTAGCATAAATTTAGCAGAAAAAAAATTTATTTCATTCTGCCAGCCTTCCCTAGAGAAAGTAATAGAAAGCACAAGTAAGGAACAAGTCTAAGGCACCTTTAAATCCATTTCTTTTCCTTTGTCACAAAATCACAGTGCAGCCTGAATGACCTCGGAGCCAATACTTCCAGGTAAAAAATAAATAAATAAAAATAAAAATAATTGCTGAGATGAGTTCAAGTAAATAACATGTAAAATTAATATTCTCATTACAATCTTTTTATTTTATATAAGTAAAAGAAGACTTGAAATATTCTCAACCTGATGATAATTATTACTTATATCCATAACATCTCTTTTGAGGACATTGCTGGAGAATGTAGAGCGAGAGAATAAACATAATCTTATGAGGCATAAAGCAAACTTTCCCACAATTGGGAATATAAAAAAAAATTCCCATTTGTTTAAACAGCAAGAATATTAAATGAATCAGATAATCATAGAATTCTGAGGAGGGAGAAGATTTAGAAGTGTTTAAATGCAATCCTTCAATTTTCTTCAGCTAAATGACTATACATATGTTTTAAATAAAAAATTGAAAATCCTAATATTAACCTATCAAATCATTTTAACATTGACTTTATATTTTATTAAAGCATGAAATCAAGCAAAGAAGACCAATATCTTCAATATTTTTTTCATGTACCGAATTGAGTCCTTTATTTTTTTATTGATGAGTAATAAATGTACATATTTTCACGGAACAAATGATCACTTGATATATTCATAAAATGTGTAAAGATCAAATCAGGGTAATTGGGCTATCTATCATCTTAAATATTTATCTTTCTTTTATGCTATGAACATTTGAATTATTTTCTTCTAGCTATTTTGAAATATATATTACATTACTGTTAACTATAGCCATCCTATTGAACACTAGGTCTTATTTTTTTAATTTAATTTGTACCCATTAATCTCTTTATCCTCTCCTCCACTCTACACTTCGTGGCCTCTGGCAACTGCCAATCTGCTCTCAATCTTCCTAAGATTCACCTTTTTAGGTCCCATATATGCGTGAGGACATTGTGACTTTTGTCCTTCTGTGATTGGCTTATTTTGCTTAACATAATGACCTCCAGTTCCATCCATGTGGCTGAAAATGACAGGATTTAGTTTTTTAAAGACTGAATAATGTTCCATTGTGTGTGTGTGTATACACATATACCACGGTTTCTTTATCTATCATCCATTGATGGGCATTTGGGTTGATTCCATATTTTAGCTATTGTGAATGGTGCTGCAACATACACGAGAGTGTAGATATCTCTTTGATATATTGACTAACTCTCCTTTAGATATGTACTCAGTAGTGGAATTGTTGGATCATATGGTAGTTCTGTTTTTTGCTTTTTGAAGAGTCTCCATATTGTTTTCCATAGTGGCTGAACTATTCACATTCCCACCAACAGTCTACAAAGGTTTCTTTTCTAATTGAGTGTCTTTTGATATACTACCTACTACCGTCAATAGTGTTGATGCTATCTTCTCAAAAAATGGAATCAAAGTTGACATATTTTAAAAGTTTACTTGTCACTGAGCCTGCTTTTCATGACACTCACACTCACACTAGTTCCCAGAGAAATACTGTCACTCACACTCGTTTTGGCTTAATATGGTTAATATGATACTGTTAAGTCAGACAATGTTTGATCTGTTAGACTATTTTAATAAAAATGTGTTTGAGTTGTAAATCTGAAGAATCACAAGAAAAATACGAGGATATCTTTGGTTATAACTTTGCATGCATTCTGTTCAACAAAATTCCTGTTTTTCCTTAGTTCCTTTTAGGATCTTGACAGAGATATTTAATAGCACTTGATTTCATGGGAGTGATGTCTACACTACAGGATATTAGATTATAACTACAAAGTTGTGTGTGTGTGTGTGTGTGTGTGTGTGTGTTTATGTGCATGTTTCAAAAAAGGTAAGGTGGTAAATTGAGCAGCCATGTGCCAAGGTCTATGTTGAATTTGACTTAGTCATGTATTCCCAAAAGCTTCATCTTTTTGTGAAATAGCCATGCAGTCCTTGGATGTTTAAAAAGGAACCTGGATATTTAAAATATAATAAACTTACTTCTTGTGGCTGCCAGTTCACAAGTGAACTCAGCCTCTTTGTAATATATTCTTTGAGGATAAAAATACGTTATAGACATGAAAGAAGAGACTTCCATGAACACCAGTGAAGTGTAGCAATGCCTGTTAAAAGCACTGTATCCGTCAATGTCACCTTTCAGAGTGTTCTTTGGAAAAGTTGTCAGTTTCTCATTTTCAGACAGTGATTCTTGTCCTATTCAACAACCATTTTTAAGTAACTCCCTGAATGTCTTTTCTTATGTTAGCTCTTTTCAAACCATTAGGATACATCAATGTACTGTTGAATACATCAATTTCCAAACCTCACAAAGTCAAGGAAAACAAAAGCATGCGTGACTGTCCCTTCTTTGAAAATGGCATCAATATAAATTTTAGAGCTCATAAAGCTCAGTGAGCTTATTCCATTTCATCTCTTTTTAGTTTGAGTAGTTTTTATGTGGATGAATTTTCTGACATGTTTCATGAACTTACTTTCTGACAGTTTCAGTAGGCTGCACAAACATTGTTCACCTGAAATGTGCTCATTCCTATACTCCCTTTGCCTATTACAACTTTAAATAGCTCTTTTCTAGTCTCCTCAGAATAATTTTTGCATTCGCTATGCAGTACCCTTATTGTAGTACACTGGCATCTTTTGGATTTAATGAAAATTCCCAGCATAGGAATTTACCTTTCAAAATAAAATGCTGTGTTATATTTTATAGGATTATTTCTGTAAGTTATTGTTTTGATATAATTTTTAACTTATAGAAGAGTAGCAAGAATAGTATAAGAAGCTCCATATATCCTTTACCCAGATTCACTGATTTACATTTTGCCCAATTTACTTCATCATTCTTTCACTCTATCTGTAATTTTTTTCTTAACTGAGAGTAAATTGGAGATGTGCCTATTTACCATGAAATAATTATTTTTCTTAAGAACAAGAACTTTCTTTTACATAACCACACGACAGTTCTCAAAATCAGAAATTTGAGCATTGGTACAACAATATTATCTAATTCACAGTTCATATACTGATAATCACCAATTGCTTCATAAATGTCTTTTGTAGCTGTTTTTCCCATGAAGAATCAATTTGTCATCATGTATGTGTATATTTGCCATACTGCTTTAATTTTCTTTCATCCTCAGCCTTTATTTTTCTTTACCTTGACATTTTTGGAGAGTACAGGCCAGTTATTTTGTAGAATGTCCCTCAATTTGGTTTGTCTGATGTTTCCTCATGATGAGATTCAGATGATGCATTTTGTGCAAGAATACCACAGAAGGTTATGTGTCCTTCTCAGCACATCATGTTATAAAAAAATGATGCCAGTTTGTTCCAGCCAAGGTGTTTTCTACCTTTGTCTCTTGAATGGTAACTGAGTAACCCAGGTAGCCAAAAATGGAATGGCCAAATGCCATCTAGTTTGGAAGCCTCCTGAGTATGAGAAAAAAAGAAAATATTGATCCCATAAAATTAGAGAGAATATTCTTTTTTTCCAGCTTCAGAAAGTTCTTTCTTCTTTTACTTTATGTTTTGTTTTTATGTCTACGTACTATTGTTTTTCAACAAATACTCATTGTCTCTTTGCTAGGTGTAGATATTTTTCTGTGCCACACAAAATTAAGCATTTTCCAAACCATGGTTTCATTTTCTATCTTGAACAATTTGTTTCTACTCACCAAGACTATATCAAAATGTCTGCAATGAGATCACAATTTCTTTTTAATTTCCAGTTCAAATGAACATGTTTCAAACACAGTTCTGTTTTCCCGAATGCAATGCTTTGCTCCATTTACCACTCCTGTTGTGAAACCTCCCTAGATGTTTCTAGCTTCATTCCCTCCTGTGTCTATTCGTACATTTCTGATGGCTCGTATTCATTCTTTTCAGTTGGCCATTAACCCTCCCAAGTCATCACTTGACTCTTCTTCCTTAATTTCTTCCTAAATAATCCCTTCACCTTCTCTCAAATTAAGATCTTTGGGTCTTAATTTTCCCTGGAACTCTAGACCCATATTTATAAGTGCCTTCTGGCAATTTCCACTTTGACATCTTACAACTACCTTGAAATCATCCCTACACCTGACTTCTAACCCTATTTCACTTCCTGTAATTCCTGTCCTGGTTAGTGGCATCCAACCCACCTGCTTAATATTGAAACACAAGAATTGTATTTCTCCATCTACTCAACACATCGACGTTCTCCCAGCACTTGGGAATGTAACTCGCTGACAGCTCCCAACGGTGTTCCTCCCCAGGCATTGCCTTAAGCTGAAGGGAGCACTTGCTTTTGAGGTTGTGCTTTTCCCTGGGAACAGCTTATATCCACCCACTGCTCCTCAGGAATCCCCTTGCTTCAATTTAGAACATTGTGAGAGCATCCCCAAAGGATTGGCTGTGGTCTTTATTACAACTGCACCACAGTCAACTTCTCTATCTGCTGAATCGTGATGCCCTCACACTTTCTAAATCATTCTAAGATCACTAGCCAATAAATGGAAACTTAAAATCTCTCGGAGTCTCTTTCCAAGAGAAACCAAAATTTGAGACAGTCACTAATCTGCTGGACTTGGAGGGAATAGAATTTTATGATTTGGCAGAAAATTCTACCTATAACAGTGTTTTAGGTAAGAGGAGGATATTAGAGTCTTGTTTGATTCATGACAAACCATTGAGTAGCATCCTCACCCAAAAGCACTGATCTGAGTAAACTCACACACTTGCCCTGCTCCCATCAAGGCAAGCAGCACTTTTATGCCATTCCTGAAATAGGGTTCACCTAATAACAGTAGGGCCTAAGCTTGGGAGCAATGAGGCTGTCCTGTGGCTTCCACACTTGCTTACCTATCTGTGAGGGCTCTGCTCCATGAGGTGCTTAGGTAATGCAACATTTTAAGATTCATTTTGAAGATACTTCCAGAAGTATCTTCCCATGTAGTTCTGCAATGGTTGGTAATATATTTAAGCACTGCAATATCATGTCTCACTCTAAACAGATTTACAAAACTAAGAACTGACTCAGCATATGACTTCAAAAAATCAAGAAAGAAGTGAATTCTTAAATGCATTAATTATGAATTGTATTAAAAGTGAATTTCTACTGAATGTATGTTTACATTCAGATAATTTTGAAGCGATTCAGAAGGGCAACAAATTTATTATTATTTCTATTTGAAGTGTTTGATGATATTATATACAAACATGTATTATACTTAGGCATGATGAATTGCTAGAAAGTTAGCCGTTCTATTTGAGTATTTAAAATATATCTGAACATATAAATGGTCATCCTTCATATTTCTTGTCTGTACTGAAGCTTTTTTATTGAGGCCGAATAAAGTTCATACCAAATCTTTTTGCTAGGTATGGTCTTTATCATCCTATGTCCAGCACATATGATTTTACAGTTTCCTTTTTCATAAAATTTATAGTTCATATTAATAATAGTTTTAAAATAGCACACATATTTTGAATACCTTATTTATGCCAGGCACTGTACCAAGCACAAACCATGGGGCTAGAATTCAGTCAAGTATATTTTCTGACTCTTAAACTATCTCAAAATTACCTTTATGAAAATATATAGATTTTATTGGAATCTGACATAAATAAAAAGTAAAAAAATATTCAGCAAGGGTTGAGTAGGTTCATTGCCATTAGGCAATTTTTTGTGGGGTTATTCCAGTCAATAATAAGTAACTAGCTTTTGCTTTTGAACAAGCTGTTAATTCTTGACAAGGCTTAGAACTATATTTCTGTTCTATTTATTGTTTGCCTGAGAAATGTATCATTTCTGGGGTTTTTACGGATGTTTCTGTTTTTAATGGAAATGTACATATATTTACATCATGTAACCATAAACACAGTGTGTCTGGGTGTGAAAATACTTGGACATAATAAATAATTTTTGAGGGGGAAATCACTTGTGCTAAGTTTTCTTAGTTACTATATGCAATATTTTTAATTCATACTGAATACATGTTTTTGATTTGTATTAAACGTATGTTTACTAAAAGTCTTTTTCTCTTCAGACTGAATGTAAAGTTTTACTACCATGAAGTTAAAATTTTTAAGAAATTGCTACATTCTCTGTTAAAGTTAGTATTCAGGGTCAATTTTCCTAGCACAGAACAGTATCCCAGCACCACAGATATAAAATAAAATATATGAAACATTCAGAAACGTCTGCCAGTCTCCAGTGAATACTCTGCAATCAATCTGTGCTATCATAAAATAAGAATACAGGTCTTTGCTTAGAATTACTAGTGCACAGTATCTCATTAACTAACCCAGCCAATGAATTAGAGTCACTGAAAGGAGCATGATAGGACTTCGGGGGAATATAACCATTTTCCTCATTAAGTACTAACAAGCCAGTTCTCATACTTCCCTGATATCATTATGTTCCCTACATTTCTGCCCTGCCCATTAACTATAATCCTAATAATCACCCCTCTGCTTATAGCAGCTTGTCTTTTTAATTTCCCTACTGTATCACTTTTGAACATATTTCCCTTGCAGTTACACATTTTCTTCCTTTGGCAAAACTGTCAATCCAAAATAATCTAACTTTTCATTTATGAGCCTGGTTGAATCTTTTAAGCAGCCCGGTAATAATGCATGTGGTTGAAAATGTGACTGAATATAAAAGACACGACACTGTAAATTGGCACAATGATGAGGTGTATTAATAATGTCGGGATGTGTCCACATAGGATACTCTTCATGGTGGGAGAAGGCTGGCTAACTAGTCAGACAGGAAACCCCCCTGTGAGTTGGCAGGGAGCATTCTGTTTACACGAGTGACTATAATGATGCCTGTGCCAATGCTAGAAAAGATTCTCTCTCGGGTCTTAACAATAGGATATAAAAATTCTCTTGCAGAGATTACTTATATGCACAGTTGAGAGTGGACTGCCCATCAATTAAGTGGCTCTTCCTATTTAGAATGTTTTTCTTAAATTCTTGGTGTTTTCGAAGTTACATTAAATAGAAATACATGATTTATATTTGAGTCTGTGACTGAAGCATATAGTATTGTGTATGAACCCATGTCCTCCTTTCTTTTTCTTTTCTTTTCTTTTTTTTTTTTTTTTTTTTTTTTTTTGAGACAGAGTCTCAGTCTGTTGCCCAGGCTGGAGTGTAGTGGAGCCATCTTGGCTCACCACAACCTCCACCTCCCAGGTTCAAGTGATTCTCCTGCCTCAGCCTCCCGAGTAGCTGGAACTACAGGCGTCTGCCACCACGCCTGGCTAATTTTTGTATTTTCAGTAGAGACGGGGTTTCACAATGTTGGCCAGGCTGGTCTGGAACTCCTGACCTCGTGATCTGCCTGCCTCAGCCCCCCAAAGTGCTGGGATTACAGGTGTGAGCCACTGCGCCTGGCCTATGTCCTTCTTTCAATACAGGCTCTCTTCTCCTCCTTACCCTCCGATTCTCTTTCAAACCTGTCTCTCTCAATGTAAGGATTAGTGCTCAAATTCTGTAGGTAGTTATGAACATTATAGGGTATCTACAGGGTGTCTGAATTCTTTCATAGAAGCAAAGCTCCCATATGTGAATTCTTTTGAATTATGAAAATCTTCGCAGCCTGTTTTACAAAGAGGAAATTCAACCTGGAGCTGAGTCATTTTTGTTTTTCTTTTACCGTTCTTCTAATTTATACAACGTTTGCACTTTGTGTGCTATTATTCCCAAGTGCAAAAGTACAAAAACATTATTAGTAAAGTTAAATATCAGTTGACAGCTTGTATCATGTAACTTTCATATCCTTTGTTGAGTGGTCATTTGGAAAAGACGATTCATTTTGTTTCCCTTGTTTTTGGAGGACACATTTAGATATCCATATAGCTCACAGGAGGGCTGTCCAGAGTCTAGGAAACTGTGGAAGTAATCATTTGGCCTAAATTATTTAAATAGTTCCCATCATTTCCTGGATTTACTTTGGCTACAGACATCTTCTCCACATAAACCCAATAAATTATGGCCACTGATACTGAATAATACATGGTAAGTGACTAAAAAGCAATAATATACCCATGAGTGGTTTGCATGAATGTTAAATAGCTAGTAGACATCACTTAGAAAATTTATTATTTAGCATGTTTACAAAGTACATTTATCACATTCTATCTTTTTATTTTTTATTAAAAAATTCTATTGAGAAGTGTCTGTTCATATCCTTCGCCCACTTTTTGATGGGGTTGTTTTTTTCTTGTAAATTTGTTTGAGTTCATTGTAGATTCTGGATATTAGCCCTTTGTCAGATGAGTAGGTTGCGAAAATTTTCTCCCATTTTGTAGGTTGCCTGTTCACTCTGATGGTTGTGCAGAAGCTCTTTAGTTTAATTAGATCCCATTTGTCAGTTTTGGCTTTTGTTGCCATTGCTTTCGGTGTTTTAGACATGAAGTCCTTGCCCATGCCTATGTCCTGAATGGTATTGCCTAGGTTTTCTTCTAGGGTTTTTATGGTTTTAGGGGAACATCACACTCCGGGGACTGTTTTGGGGTGGGAGGAGGGGGGAGGGGGGAGGGATAGCATTAGGAGATATACCTAATGCTAAATGACGAGTTAATGGGTGCAGCACACCAACACGGCACATGTATACATATGTAACAAACCTGCACATTGTGCACATGTACCCTAAAACTTAAAGTATAATAATAATAAAATTAAAAAAAAATTCTAATGATATATAAGATTTGTAAATATTTATGGGGTGCATGTGATTTTTGAAACACGCAGTACAATGCGTAATGATCAAATGATGGTATTTAGGATATCCATCACCTCGAATATTTATCAGTTCTTTCTGTTGGGACCATTCCAAATCTTCTCTACTTATATGACAACATACAACAAATTGTTGTTAATCATAGTTACAGTCGAGTGTTATCGAACAATAGAACTTGTTCTTTCTATCTAACCAAATGTTTGTACTCATTAACTAACCTCTCTGCATCCCACCCCCATAACCTTCCCAACCCCTGGCAACTGTCATTCTACTCACTACTTCCATGAGATCAAATTTTACATCCAAATTATGAGAGAGAAAATGCGATATTTGTCTTTCCGTGTGTGGCTTACTTCATGTAACACAATGACCTCCAGTTCCATCCATGTTGCTGCAGATGACAATATTTTATTCTTTTTTGTGGCTGAATAGTATTCCAGTGTACCATAAAATCTTTGCCTAGAACAATGTCCTGAAACATTTACCCTACGTTTTCTTCTACTAGTTGCATAGATTTGAGTCTTATGTTTAAGTTTTTAATCCACATTGAGTTGATTTTTCTATTTGGTGATATATAGGGATCTAGTTTTATTCTTCTGCATATGGACATGAAGTTTTACCAGCACCATTTATTGTAGAAGGTATCCTGTCACCAGTGTGTGTTCTTGATGTCTTTGTCAAAAATCAGTTGACTGTAAATACATGCATTTATTTCTGGGTTTTCTATCCTGTTCCATGGTCTGTGTGTCTGTTTTTATACCAATACCCATGCTGTTTTGGTTGCTATAGCTTTGTATTATATTTTGCAGTCTGATAGTGTTATAGTTTCAGCTTTGTTCTTTTTGCTTGGTATTTACCTTGCCTGTTTGTGATCTTTAGTGGTTCCATACAAATTTGCAGATTGCTTTTTCTATTTCTGTGAAGAATGTCACTGGGACTTTGATAAAGATTGCATTGAATCTGTAGATTTTTGGGGGGTAATATGGTCATTTTAACAATTTTAATTCTTCTGTTCCACAAGGATGGTGTTTTTCCAATTGTTTGCATTCTTTTCCATTTATTTCATCAGTGTTTTGTAGAGTTTCTTGTAGAGGTCTTTAGCCTCCTTGGTTAAATTCCTTCCTAGGTATTTTACATTTTTGTAGCTATAGTAAACAGAGTTGCTTCCTTGATTTCTTTTTTAGGTAGTTTTTGTTATTGGTTTATGGAAATGCTACTGAGTTTTGTATATTGATTTTGTATCCTGCAGCCTTAGCAAATTATTTTATCAGTTCAAACAGTGTTTTGGTAGAGCCTTTATACATAGAAAAAGCTATATAGCTTTTTCTATACATAAGGTCACATCTGCAAAGAGGGACAATTTAATTTTCTCTTTTCAAATTTGAATGCCTTTTATTTCTCTCTTTCCTGATTGCTCTGGTAAAGATGTACAATACTACGTTGAATAAAACTGGTGAAGGTGGGCATCCTTGTCTTGTTCCAGTTCTTAGAGGAAAGGCTTTCATCCTTTCTTCGTTCAGTATGGTGTTAGCTGTGGGTTTGTCATATATGGCCTTTATTATGTTGAGTAATGATATTGCCTAATATGTTGAGAAAGGATGTTGAATTTTACCAAATGCTTCTGCTGCATCTGTAGAGATGGTCATACATTTTTCACCATTCATTCTATATGATGTATTACTTTTATTGAATTTTGTATATTGAACATTGATGGCTCCCTAGGATAAGTCCCACTTGATGGTGGTGTATTATGTTTGATGTGCTGTTAGATTCAGTTTACCAGTGTTTTGTTAAGGATTTTTCTGTCTATGTTCACCAGAGCTACTGGCCTATAGTTTGTGTGTGTGTGTGTGTGTGTGTGTGTGTGTGTGTGTGTGTGTTTCCTTGTCTGGTTTTGGTATCATAGTAATGCTAGCCCTATAGAATTCTGTACTTTAAAATTTCTGGAATAGTTTGAGAAGAATTGTATTAGGATTTCCTTACAAGTTTGGTAGAATTAAGCAGTAAAGTAATCTGGTCATGAGATTTTCTTTGTTGGGAGAATTTTTTTTCTTGTTTTTTTTTATGGATTCTAAATTATTACCTGCTATTTGTCTGTTTGTGTTTCTTTTTTCTTCTTGGTTTGATCTTGGTAGCTTGTATACGTTCACGATTTATTCATTTCTCCTAAATTTTCCAATCTGTTTTCACATAGTTGTTTCTAACAGTCTCTGATGATCCTTTGTATTTCTGTGGTATCAATTGTAATGTCTTCTTTTTTGTTTCTGATTCTGTTTATTTGGGTCTTTTCTGTTTTTTTTTTCTTGGTTAATATAGCTAGCAGTTTATCAATTTTATCTTTTCAAAAAATAAAATTTTGGTTTGATTTGTCCTTTGTTTTTGTTTTTTTTTTAAGCCTCTATTTTATTTAGTTCTGCTTTGATCTTTATTATTTCTTTCCTTCTACTAATGTTGGTGTTGCTTTGTTCTTGCTTTTCTTGTTCCTTGGGGTGCATTATTAGGTTGTTTATTTGACATCTTTGTATTCTTTGATGTATGTGTTTGTTGCTATAAAATTTCCTCTTAGCATTGTTTTTGCTGTATCCCATAGGTTTTGTTATGTTGTTTTATTTGTCCATTTTCAAACTGCTATAAAGAACTTCCATGAGATTGGGTAATTTATAAAAGTAAGAGATTTAATTGACTCACAGTTCCACATGGCTGGGGAGGCCTCAGGAAACTTACAATCATGGTGGAAGGTGAAGTGGAAGCAAGCACCTTCTTCCAAGGTGACAAGAAAGAGAGGAAAAGGAACTGCCAAACACTTATAAAATCATCAGGGCTTATGAGAACAGCATGGGGAAAACTGCCCCTATGATCTAATCACTTCCCCCCCGGTCCCTCCCCTGACATGTGGGGATTATGGGTATTATAATTTAAGGTGAGATCTGGGTAGGGACACAGAGCCAATCCATATCAGTGTGTTTCCATTTTTATTTAAGAAATATTTTATTTCTTTCTTAATTTCTTTATTGACCCAACAGTCATTCAAGAACATGTTGTTTAATTTCTATGTATTTGAACAGTTTTTACAGTTCTTGTTCTTATTCATTTCTAGTTTTATTCCATTGTGATGCCTGATGTGATTTTGATCATTTAAAATTTGTTGAGACTTCTTTTGTGTTCTAACATTTATTCTGCAGAATGTTTCATGTGCTGATCAGAAGATTGTGTGTTCTGCAGCAGTTAGATGGAATGCTTTGTAAATGTCTATTAGGTCTATCTGGTCTAAAGCACAATTTGAATCCGATGTTTCTTTTCTGATTTTCTGTCTAGATGATTTGTTCAATGCTGAGTGGGGTGTTGAAGTCACCAACTGTTATTGTATTCAAGTCTATCACTTCCTTTAGATTTAATAATATTTGATTGATCTATCTGGGTGCTCCAGTGCTCTGGGAACACGTATATTTATTGTATCCTCTTGTGAAATTGTTCCCTTTATCATTATATAATGACTTTCTTTTTCCATTTCTACTGTTTTTGAATTAAGGTCTATTTTATCTTATATAAGTATAGCTCTTCCTGCTCATTTTCGGTTTCTGTTTGCGTGGAATATCTTTTTCCTTCACTTTCAGTCTATATGTGTCTTTGCAGATGAAGTGAGTTTCTTGTAGGCAGCCCATTGTTGGTCTTCTAAAAAATCCATTCATCCAGTTTGTATCTTATAAGTGGGTAAATTAACCTGTTTATATTCAATGTTATTATTGTTAGATGAGGACTTACTCTTGCCATTTAAAAAATTTTTTTTGTATGTTTTGTATATCCATTGTTCCTTTTTTCCTCTCATTGTTTATCATTGTGGTTTGGTGGTTTTCTGTAGTGGTAATATTTGAGTGCTTTCTCTTTCTTATTTGTGTGTCTGCTCTACAAGGGAGTTTTTTCCTTTTGTGTAGTGATGGTAGATAGTGACCTTTGCTTCCAGATGTAGGGCTTCCTTAAACATTTCTTATTTACCCTGTTGGGTTAATTCTATTTGTGGATTTTTGAGTTTCCTGAATCTGGATATCTATATCTCTTGCATGACTTGAGGGAAGTTTTCAGCTATAATTTTATTAAAAAGGTGTTCTACGCCTTTGCTCATGTCTTCACCTTCTGGAAAACTTAAGATTGAAACACTGGTCACATTATGATGTCCTATATTTGACGTAGGCTTTCTTCTTCCTTTTTAAAATATTTTTCTCTTTCATTTTTGTCTGACTGGATAATTTCAAAAGGCTTATCTTCATGTTCAGAAATTTTTTCTTATGCTTGTTTTTGTCTATTGTTGAAAGTCTCAATTATATATCTTATGTCTTTTATTGAATACTTCAGTTCCAGGATTTCTAGTTTATTTTCAATGATATTTACCTCTTGTGAATTTCTTATTCAGATTACAGATTGTTTTCCCGATTTAGGTATTGTTTATCTGTGTCCCTTTTCGGATATTTCACAGATTTCTTTTTTGTTGTAATCTGTTGCTGGAGAATTACTGTGTTCTTTTTTGGAGGTATCGTATTTCCTTGCTTTCTTACATTCCTTGTATTGTTACGTTGATATCTGCACACCTGGTATCACTCTAGCTTCTTCCAATTTTATGAATTGGCTTTTGTAAGGATAGAATTTTTCCTATAGGTGTATCTATGGTGTTTGTTGGGCGAGGTGCTTTGGCTTTGATTCTGAGTGCATGCAGTAGTGTAGCCTCCATTTGATTTCTTTTGCTGTAATCAGCATCAGTGGTGTCTGTGAGTTCTTTAGTGGCTTGGGTAGTGGTTGTTAATGGAGGCTACAGTGAGGCTTTTCTGGGAACAAGGATGTCAGGCGGTCTAGTCCTTGGACTCCAGTGGTCGTGGTGGTGGTGGGTAGAGGGTGCCAGTAGTCTAGCCTCCTGGCAGCACACATAGATGGACACCAGTGGTAGCAGGTCCAAGATGGCCAACTTTGGGGACTTCAGGGACTTACTCAGGTGTCAGTGGCAGCAGTGGGCCAGGTGAGTGGGTGTGTCCTTTGGGTGGTGTGCATGGCATGCCAATCCTCAGGTCCTTGATGACACATGGGCACTAGCTCAGAGTGGTGTGAAGCAGGGCCGGCCTATCCTCAGGCCTCTGATTGCGTGCATGGGTACAGGCTGTGGCAGAAGGGACTAGTTAATTCCCAGGCCTCCGAATGATGTGCATGGTCACTGGTGGGGACAGTGCATTGTGGGAAGGACCTGTCCTTGGACCCCTATATCCATGTGCACATGGATGTAGGCTGTGATGGGTGGAGCAGGTCAGTCCCTGGGTGACATACTTGGGCACTGTGTTGGCTGAACTAGGCCTTTTGCGAAGCCTGTTGATGGTGCGTTCACAATAAACAGAGAAGATCAATCCCCAGGCCCCTGGATGGTGCACTTGAGTTGCTGTGATGGTGGCAGTGGGTGGGGCAGGCCTGTTTTCAGATCCCTAATGATGCACATGTGTGCAGGCTGTGTTGGGCAGGGCTGGTTAATCTCCAGGCCCCTAATGATGTACACGGCACTGGCAGGAGCAGTTCATATTTAGTCAAGCCTTTATATTAATGAAACAGAAAAAAATGTGATAAACTGAAAACTGTTTATCGTACTGATTCAAAAGTTTTAACAGGAGCAATTAGTTTCCAAATAACAGTATTCTTTAAAAAATAGTTAAATAGTATGGTAAATACAATAGGCAGAAGTCAAAGTTCTATTTCTTTATGAATTCAATTTACCTAACTAATGATGTTATTCATATTTGATGTAACTGAAACTTCACTTATAATGGGGTATTACACTTAAAAGCTATGACTACACAGAATCATGAAAATTGAATACAATTTGCATATCATGGATTGAAAAATGGAAAAACACAAATAATCCTTTGATTAGTACTATATTGTAATATTAAATTGCATTATAAATGAGACACAAGAGAAAAGAAAAAAACTTACTCTCATTCCTGCCTCTCCAAAATAGACATTGGTATTACTTTGGTGAACATCCTTTCAAATTTTTCCCATGCATATATGTTCTTATTGAATTACTACAGCAGTGTGTAAGTATTGCTATGGACTAAGTGGTTGTGTCCTCCCAAAATTTATATGTTGAAACTCTAATCCCTAAGGAGATGCGGTCCTTTGGAAGTAGTTAGGTCATGGGGATGGAGCCCTAGAAATGGGCCAGTTTGCTTCTTCTGACTCTCTCTTCATTCCCCACTATGTGAAGATACAATGCGAAGATGGCCATCGGAAAACCAGGAAGAGGGCCTTTACCAAGAACCCGACCATGCTGGCACCTTCATCTCAGACTTCCAGCTACCAGAACTGTGAGAAACAAATATTTGTTGTTCAAGCCTCCTTGTGTATGGCATTTTGTCATGGCAGCCCTAATTAAGACAGGCTTTTTATATACTCCTTCACTTAATATAGTCCTTGAATCTACATAAAATTCATAATTTTACTTTTATTTTATTGCTGCATGCTATTTTATTAAGCACAACTATCCATTGTGATATTGTGATATAATAAGAAATATATACAGTTTTACATTGCTTAATGACAAGGATACTTTCTGAGAAATGTGTCATTAGGTATTTTATAGTTGTGTGAACATTACAGAGTGTACTTACACAAACCCAGATGGTAGAGCCTACTATACACATTGGTTATATGGTACGGCCTACTGCTCCTAGGCTACAAACCTGTAAAGCATATTACCATACTGAATACTCTAGGCAACTGGGATTCAATGGTAAATACTTGTGTATCTAAATATATCTAACTGTAGAAAAGGCACATTAAAAATACACCATAAAATAGAAAAATGGTCCACCTGTATAGGGCACTTGTCATGAATGGAGCTTGCAGGACTGGAAGTTGCTCTGGGTGATTCAGTGAGTGAGCAGTGAGTGAATGTGGAGGCCTAGCACAACTGTAGACTTATGCTACACTACAATAAATTTATTAAAAGTAAAGTAATTGTGCTATAATGTTATGACAGCTTTGACATCACTAAGCAACAGGAACTTTTCAGCTCCATTATAATTTTATGGCTCCACAGGCATACATATAACTGATCCGTCATTGACTAAACATTATGCAGCATATGACTGCATTTTGGCCTTCATTCCCAGCTCCTGGCCAAAGCTCTTAAAACATTGATAAAAGTGAAAAGAGGCGGGCAGATCACGAGGTGAGGAGATCGAGGCCATCCTGGCTAACATGGTGAAACCCCATCTCTACTAAAAATACAAAAATTAGCTGGGCATGGTGGTGGGTGCCAGTAATCCCAGCTACTCGGGAGGCTGAGGCAGGAGAATGGCATGAACCCAGGAGGCGGAGTTTGCAGTGAGCCGAGATCGCGCCACTGCACTCCAGCCTGGGCGACAGAGTGAGACTCCGTCTCAAAAACAAAACAAAACAGAACAAAACAAAAAGTGAAAAGAGCACCTATTGTTATTCATAAGCAATCCCTTTCAACCACACCTGAGTTTATGTTAATTAGGTGGCTTTTGGTAAGTCTCTAAGGATGAGGAGCTGGTTGCCTTGGAAACCAACTATGTGATTAGAGGGTTGAGATTTTTTTGCCCTACCTCATGACCTCCAGGAAGGAGAGAGGCTGGAGGCTGAGTTAAGCACTAATAGCCAGCGATTTAGTTAATTATGCCAAAGTAATGGAACCTCTATAAAAATTCAGAAGGGCAGGGTTTGGAGAACTTACGGGTTACAGAACACAGTAGAGCGCCCAGAGGATGGCATACCTGGTGAGGGCATAAAAGCTCTGTGTCCCTCCTCCAAGCCTTGTCTTAGGCACCTATTCCACCTGGCTATTCCTGAGTTGTAACCTTTTATAATAAATGAGTGATCCAGTATGTAACTGGTTTCCTGTGAACTTGTTCTAGCAAATAATCAATTACAAAAGAGGACTGTGGGAGCCTCCGATTTTTAGCTGGTTGGCCAGAGGCACAGGTCACAACCTAAGCTTTAGATTGGCATCTGAAGAGGGGGCAGACTTATGGGACTGCCCTCCTAACCTACGGAATCTGCACTAACCCCAAGCAGATGGTGTCAGATTGAACTGAATTTTAGGAAATCCAGATGGTGTCTGGAGAGCGGCGGAATTAGTTGGTAAGAGAAAACCCCCCCACATACTTGATCACAGAAGTGTTCTGTATTGACCCTGAGTATACAGAAAAGCTGCTTTTTTTTCCTTGCATAAATATTACATAACTATTTGTCTACTTTTGGTCATTTAACTTTCCTATTTTTCCCTGTTATAACACTGTGCCTAGGCATCTTTGTGCATTCAGCATTTTTTATACTTTGTTTTTGCTCTGAACATATTCCCAGGAGTGAAATTGCTGGATAAAATTCCCAAATAATTTGTTAACTTAGGAAAGTGCACTTTACTGATTATGAAAAGGCCATCGGACAAAGATACTTGTCGCTTTATGGTAACTTTTTCAGCCAACATGGAAGAGGCCAATATCCATTCTCCCCTTCATTCTAGTGCAAGCCTTGATGTTTTGCTGACACAGGGCCAGTTGGAAGAAAGACGACACATCTTAGGCTTCCTTTTAGCTATGGGTGGCCAGGTGACTCAGATCGGCTTAATAAGATGAAATAGGATGCACATGTGCTGTGTGACAGTCTTCAAGAAACTTTCTGGATGATAACTTATGGATGCTCTTTGCCTCATCCTCTTTATTTCTTTCCCCTTGTAGCTTTCTGGAATTTGGATGTGATGGTAAGAAAAGGTTCCCTTTTTTCTTATATAAAGGTACTTTCATCCTAGGTCATGGATGGTGTCCTAGAGTGATGAACTGGAAGGATTCTGGGTACTTATGAACCCTGTGTCTCAGGACTGCATTTCCAGGTCTGGATTGGCTGCCTCTAGGCTGTTACACGACAGCAAAAGCCACATCTCTGTTATCTATACCTCTGTTATTTGATATTTCGACTCTTTACAGGTAGCTAAACCTAACTCTCTGACGCAGTCAACTTATTGAAATCTTTAGACAATCATTTTTGGCCAGATGGATGGCATGTTGAAAAGAACCACTTCAACTTATACACTAAATTGAGTTAAAAAACCCAGAACCAGTATCAGTAAAAGGGAGATTGTGCCAGGTGATTCTGAAGTTAATAATCATTAAAGATATGTGGTTGAGGGATTTACGTCCATCTCCATAAAAACTCACTCTAGTTATATTTTTGTTTGAAAATGTGGATGATCAGACCCATAGATACAGGAATTGTTGGGTAGATTTTTTTTTATTTTAGTCCATAATTTTCATAGAACCAAAAAGCTTAAAGTGATGTTAGTGTGTTATTTGGCAGGGACTTCATGAGATGAAAAAATCAGATTTGTTAATTCAGGGTTGTTAACTCAGTAGTCAATAGGCCTACTGTGGACTCCTGGTTGATATGTGATTCAAGGTTTACCTATAGCCTAACCAGACCTACTCATAAAAGGGCAAGTCTTCTATACCACACTGCCCTTATTTTCTTAAAACTTAGACTGAGGATCTGATTTAGCTATTTACACTTACCCACTGTTTTTCAGTATTAAAGATCACTTCGTCCTTGGAATTTTCATGGCACTGTGCATGTGTTATGTAGTTATTGGTAATCTCATATCAGCTCTCTCCCTGCTTCCTTTTTCTCTACTCCCTACTTATTAGAGTATACATTTTTTTTTTTTTTTTTTTTTTTTGAGACAGAGTCTCACTCTGTCGCCCAGGCTGGAGTGCAGTGGCACAATCTCAGCTCACTGCAAGCTCCCTCTCCTGGGTTCACGCCATTTTCCTGCCTCAGCCTCCCGAGTAGCTGGGACTACAGGCGCCCGCCACCATGCCTGGCTAATTTTTTGTATTTTTAGTAGAGACGGGGTTTTACCGTGTCAGCCAGGATGGTCTTGATCTCCTGACCTCCTGATCCGCCCGCCTCAGCCTCCTAAAGTGCTGGGATTAGAGACGTGAGCCACCGCGCCCGGCCGAGTATAAACTTTTAAATGAAGAGGGGCTTGCTCTGCCTTCCCCATAGCAGGCACTTAGTAAATATTTGGTTAATTGAATTGACTTTCTGAAAATTATTTGCCTAAGAATGAAGAGTGAGTTGCCTATGTTTTTAATTCTTCACTTTTCTTCTGCAGTTATGCCAACTGTTGACTTTTATCATATGGAGAGTGAAGCATCATGGTGGTTTTGTTTACTTTTAAGCACATTTTTTGACTCTGATCAATGAGGTGAAAAGTAATTTACATTTGCCGTGTGTCTGCCTTAACGTAACCAGAATGACAGCTGCCTGACTGATAACTTCTTAAATGCAAACTATGTAGTTACCACTTGCTTCTACAATATGCTTTGTCTTAATACAATCAGGATGTAAATACAGACTTGTAATTACTTTCTGTTATGCTTCTCTGCATTTATGGTGTTAAGTGTATACAGATACTTCAACGAATTACTGTGTAGTTACTCTACCTCCAATTTAGTGACAGAAAAATATCTTTTAAAGATTTGAGGCTTAAGAGGATGCTTCTACAAATAAAAAGAAATCTTCTAATGTGCTTAGCTATCATTAAGTAATTTAGGTCAAATGAACTTTGATCATTAAATGTCTGACAAACCATGGAAATTCAGTTCAATAACAATTCTATGCCTAATGAAGACATTTAATTACTTTATTATAAAAAAATTTCACGTATTTAAAAACTTAAAATTGTATTTTTAAAGCAAAGTGAAATTTGGTGCTTTTTAAATCATTAAACTTTTTATTAGTACTCCTCCATGCATTAATTCTCCTTGAGTTCTTCAAAGTGAACATGGTATGACTCTGGTATAGGATTAAATATATTATGTTTAAGCAAAAGCCAGATTGAGGGACTTTTGTCTAGAGATGTAGCGGGTTGGGAGGTATTTTCCACCACAGAGAAGTTAGGATTCCTGTCATAGCCCAATGAAGTATTTATGAAGCACGAAGGCAAAGGATATCTCAAGTGGAATATTATTGTTTAATATATGCAGAAATCTGAAAACCCTCTCCATCTGGTTTAGCTCTGACTGTATGCTAGTGTCAGCAGCCTCGTGCCTTCTGGCCAGAAAAGTTAAAGATTTTAGTGACAAAAGATATGTAATTAATAGGAAATAACACTTTGGAAACTTTATTTAAATCTTTCTAGTACTTCTTATGCGGAGTAGCTTATCTGGAATGGAAGGAATTTTATAGAAACGTAATGTCATGTATCTTTTCATTCATTGGTTTACAAAAACGTTAATATCTTGTAGGAAATGTTAGAGATATTCACTTGAAATTGTCTTTTTACAAATATATATTTCCTACGTTTTCATAATTCAAAGATGTTTTTCTGGAAAAGTTTTTTAGCTCTTTCATATAAAGACATTGATCAGAATGGATGACTGGATAATGGGCACAGGTTAAGGAGGAAGAGTGAAAGGTCTCCTTTTCTCTTACATAAAGCACACATAACATTTGAGCTCTTAAAAATAATGAACCAAGCTTAAAAGGGTTATTAGATGTGAGTTTGAGAGGCAAGCAAATATACTAAAAATGACTATAGAAAAAAATCCTTATTCTTGTGTTTAACTGCATTTTAGCCTGCAGTTGGGTAACCCTGGGGGATTCAACCTGCTCTGAAAATATGTAGTTTGCCTCCCTACTCTGATTTATCAGCTCGGTGTAACTTTTGATAGTCATAAATTTGTTTTCCTATACGGGTGCAATTTATAAACTTGATAACAAATCAGCCATTCTTTTTCATGTCTACTTCACCATTTTCATATAAAAATTCTATATAATAACTTTGTGCCACAATTAGAAGGTTTATGATTTATCTCTGTAGCATGGAGCTTGTGGTAATGTTTCACGTTGCAAAGAAAAAGTCTAACCTTTTTGTATTTCCATATTCACAGAGCAATTTCCTTTTAGTCTTCTGCTTATATTTTTATGATTTCTGGTTTATGGGTAATAAAAATCCATTTTGTTGATATGAATATACTTAACTGTATTGTAACATATATGTTGGCAAGTAGATGTTACAGAAGTGTTATTTACAAGCCTTTATATTGAGTAACATATTCAGGTTTAACCCCGTACTAATTTCAAGGATACCCTTTGTGAAGTTCTAATGAAGGCAAGACCTGTATGTTTTACCATAGCTTCCCCTCACAGTGCCTACTGCTGTGCTAGTTTATTTTTATTTTTTCTTTATTATTTATTTATTTTTGAGGCAGAGTCTCACTTTTGTCACCCAGGCTACAGTGCAGTGGCGTCATCTCGCCTCACTGCAACCTCCGCCTCCCGGGCTCAAGCGATTCTCCTGCCTCAGCCTCCCACGTAGCTGGGACTATAGGCGCCCGCCACCACGCCCGGCTAATTTTTTGTCTTCTCAGTAGAGACAGAGTTTCACCACGTTGGCCAGGCTGCTCTAGAACTACTGACATCAGGTGGTTTATCCGCCTCGGCCTCCCAAAGTGCTGGGATTACAGGCACGAGCCACCGTGCTCGGCCTGCTGTGCTAGTTTATTAACCAATATCTGTTCAATGAATAATGATGTCACAGCCTTTAATTTAAATATTATAAATAAAAAGTACCATGAAAAAAATCAGCTCCTAAGATTTTGTTGACATGAATAAGTTGTTGATTTCTGGACCATGTTAACAACGAATAAATAGTGTGGCATATAAATAACGACATTATTGCTAGGAAAGACCCATTACATAGGAAACTGTTTTAACCACTGTAATACTCTTCATGTGTTTAATCTTTGCTATGACACTCTAATATAGATACTGTCTTTATCTTCATTTTACAGCTGAAGAAATTGAAGCTCAGAGAAGTTAAGATACTTGCTTTAGAACACAGATAGTTAGGGGCAAAGCTGGGATTCAAACTCAAAGCACTTGGCTCACGAATCTATGTAGTTAGAAGTACTCTATTCTGCCTTCGTAACACTCTCTTGCTTTAATAAAGTGAATGATAATAATACCTTGTATATAAGTAGGGTAGATCTTTTCAGTCTACAAAACTACATTAAATTAGAAATTTACATTTTCTGTTAACATAATTTTAATGTATTACATTCAGCAGCTTACAGATTTATTTACTTGGTGATTTTCACTTGACGAAAGAGAAGTTTATATATTGGTGAATTTAGTTATTATTAAAGGACTTATACTGTTAAGTTTGTAACAATTTATTTCCTTTTATTCTCGCTAATGCAAATGTGTGACACTGCAGGACACAGGTCAGTGAGATTTTTCTGTAAAGAGACACATATGTTTCAGGCTTTGTGGCCTTACATATGGCCTGTGTCACATATTCTTTCTGTTTCTACAACCTGTAAAAAATATGAAGACTCTGCTATAGAACATACATTTGGAGACTTAAGGCAAGAAATGCTATATCCACACAATCAATTAAAATACCGGACACCCAGATTGAACAGAATGTTAAAAAGTTCACTCTTTTTTTTTCAAAAATTATGTTCTATTTTTGTTTCTTTTGGAAGGATTCCGTGTTTTATTTTCTAAATGTTGTTGAAAATTTTTTCAATTTCAAAATCTCAGCAATGCTTTTTGAAGACATAAGCAACTTATTCCAAAATTTATATGGATAGAGGCGCAAGGTAACTAAAACTATTATTGAAAAAGAAAAACTATATATTGAAAAGGAAGAAAAAAATGAGAGGGACCACTCTACCAGATACTAAGGCCTACAATATAACTATAGTAATCAAGACAGTGTGGTAGTGGCAGAGAGGTAGATATAGATCAATGGAACAGAAGAGATAAATCTACACAAATATGCTCAGTTGACTATTTTTACAAATGTGGAAAAGCAATTAAATAGAGAAAGGATAGCCTTTATAACAAATGCTGCTAGAATAAATGGACATGCAAGGGGAAAAATTAAGCCTCACACTATATAAGAAAATAACTCAAGATACATTATGGTTTTAAATGTTAAGCATAAGGCTATATAACTTAGAAAAAGAATAGGAGAAAGATTTCAGATCTAGTCAAAGAGTTCTTAGACTGACACCAAAAGCATAACTATTTTGGGGGGAAAATTTATAACTGGACCTCATCAAAATTAAAAATCTTTACTCCACAAAAGAAACACACTGTTAAGTGGTTGAAAAAACACATTATAGACTGGAAGAAAATATTTGCAAACCACATATCTGACAAAGGACTAGTATTTAAACTATATAAAGAACTCTCAAAACTCAACAGTTAAAAACAGAAAGAAAAACAAAGACCTAATTGGGTAAAAGACAAGAGACATTTCAATGAAGAGAATATACAGATGGCAAATAAGCAAATTAAAAAAAAATCAATATCATTAGCCATTAGGGAAATGCAAATTGAGATGACAATGAGATAGCCCTCATTGTCTTAATTGAGTACCTAGTAGAATGACTAATATAAAAAGATAGTGGTAACACCAAATGCTGATAGGCATGCAGAGAAATTAGATTAATTTTACATTGCTGGTAGGCATGTAAGATAGTACAGACACTTTGGAAAACAGTTTGATAGTTTCTTATACAAGTAAACATGTAAGTACCATATAACCTAGTTGTTGCACACTTGGGAATTTATCCCAGAGAAATAAAAACTCTGTATACACACACACACACACACACACACACACACACACACACACACACAAACCCAGAAACAAAAAACTTCTGGGCCAGGTGCAGTGGCTCACGCCTGTAATCCCAGCACTTTGGGAAGCCGAGGCAGATGGATCACCTGAGGTCAGGAGTTAGAAACCAGCCTGGCCAGCATGGTGAGACCCTGTCTCTACTCAAAACACAAAATTAGCTGGGTGTGGTGGCACGTGCCTGTGATCTCAGCTATTCGGGAGGCTGAGCAGGAGAATCACTTGAACCTGGGAGGTCGAGGTTGCAGTGAGCCAAGATTGCACCATTGTACTCCAGCCTGGGCAACAAGAGCGAAACTCTGTCTAAAACAAACAAACATAAAAACTCTGCGCAAATGTCTGTAGCAGCTTTGTGGAGTATACACAAAGTGGAAACAACTCAGATATCCTTCATTAAGTATATTGCTAAACTTTGATACATCCATACCACGGAACATTACTCAGTAGTCAAAAGGAACAAATTATTGATATATGCAATAACTTCAATGAATCTCAAGTAATTTATGCTGAGTATAAAAAGCCAATCCCCAAAAGTTACATAATATATTATTCCTCAAAATGGTAAAGCTTTAGCAATGAAGAATAGGTCAGTTGCTGCCTGGCATTGTTGGGGAAGAGAATGTGGCTGTGAAACAGTAGCAAGGGGGATTTCTGTGATGATGGAATTGTTCTGTATTTTGAGTGTATCCATGTCCACATCCTGGTTGTGATACTGTACTGTAGTGTTGCAAAATATTTCACTGGAGGAACAGGGAAAAGGATACATGTGATCTTTCTGTATTATTTCTTACAAATGCATATAAATCCATAATAATCTCAAAATTAAAGCTCAATTGTAAAAAATGTAAGATGAATACAGGGGAAAGCCCAATGATGACACAGCTGAAAGTCTTTAATTTTTAGAGAAATATGCATCACTTTGGGCTCTATCTTTGTCTTTTTGGTGTTGCCATAATAGAATACCTAAGGCTGAGAAATTTGTAAGGAAAAGAAGTTCATTTGGCTCATGATTCTGGTGGCTGTTAAGTCCAAAAGCATGGTGCTGGCACCTGTTCAACTTCTTGTGAGGGCTTTTGTGATGCGTGATAACACAGCAGAAGATAAAACAGGAAGTGGACATGTGAAGGTAGACCAAACAGGAAGAGGAACATCACTTTATAACAACCCACTCTCATGGGAACGAATCCATTCCTGTGAAAGTGAAAACTCATTTACTCACCAAGACAGAATTAATCTATTCATGAGAGATCTGCCCTCAGGACCCCAATGCCTCCCACTTGGGCCCTCCTCCTAACAATGTTGCACTGGGAACCAAACTTCAACATGAGTTTTGAAGGGAATAAACTACATTCAGAACACAGCCGGCTTACTTACTTTTGGGATTTGGCTCTTAGAGGTGAGGAGGCTAGTATGAAGGGTACCCAGATTTATAAATATTATAACTTGAATGGGATGGCACTAAAGTGTAAACATTTGTTCTGTCTGAAATTCATGTTGAAAGTTAATCCCCAATGTATTAATAGGTGGGGCCCTTAAGAACTGATCGGGTTATGAGGGCTCTACTGTCATGAATGATTAATCCATCAATGGATTTATGAATTAATGCCTCACTGGGTTAAGGGATTAATTGGTTATCATGGGAGTAGTTTACTTATCATGAGAGTGGGTCTCTAGTAAAAGCCAACTTGGTACCAGTGCACCCCTTGTCATCATGCTCTGCACCACCTTGAGACTCTGCAGAGAGTCTCACCAGCAAGAAGGCATTCACCAGACATGGGGCCCTTACCTTTGGACTTTCCAACCTTCAGGACTGTAAGAAATATTTTTTTAAGTGTAAATTACTGAGTCGCAAGTATTCTGTTATAGGAACAGAAATGGACTAAGATGGAAGGACTAAGAAATATTTTTTTAAGTGTAAATTACTGAGTCGCAAGTATTCTGTTATAGGAACAGAAATAGACTAAGATGGAAGGACTAAGATGGAAGTGCTTGCTATATTTCTTTTGGTGTTTTGAATATTTTATATGGTTTTATTTATCAATCAGATATTTCTTACAAAGTGGCCCATATAGCTCACATGACAAAAGTTTGTGTGTAGTTGTAAAAAGAAGGAAAGCAGGGTGTAAAGCAGAGTAAATTTAGATAAAGTGTATTGTATATACTTATGTTCTGTGAATAAACTTGGAATCAGGCAAGACATTAATCAATATGTACACACAGTGTCACCAATGTATTATCTCTCAACTGTTTACTCATTTGCAAAAGCCATTGGCCATGAATTGCTTTGGGTTTACGTGGTGCGAGCTTTCATTCTTAACAAAATCACACCGTTATAGAGAAGTTAGGATGATGTTTTGTGACTTCCCAATATTAATATATCTCTTTTTGTGGATTATTAATATTTTGAGTTAAGTATATAGAAATACTTCATGGAGAACGTAGTGTTTTGGGCCATTGGTTACCTCCTTGGATCCCATGAAGGAAGATTTGATTTTGTAAGATTATCTGTGATATCTTAGCTGTCAAATTCTCATGAGTGGTTGGCACAGTTAGACAATAGAACCTGGACAAGCCAGGGCCAATTCTAGTGCATACCCACAAAAATCATGGAAAATAGAGCAGAATTGCCCTGCAGTCTTAAGGGAGTCTTTTCAAGCAGTACACACCTGCATGTGTCCATTCTGACTGTTGGAATGGTCACCATTGATTGGTGAGCATGTCTTATTGGGTGTGAGGAATTTTGAACACCCACCCCTGATTCTAACAGTCTGTCATTCCAGATATTTTCCTCCTGACTCCTTAGCCATCTTTCAATCATCTTGTCTTATAGAAAGACTCTTGAGGGCAATTTAGTGCAGAGCTTCCCTGTTAGTATTCCATAGTATATTGGTTTATTGGTTCTCTAATATTAGCATATGTCAGAATCACCTGGAGAACTTGTTTAAATGCAGATTGCTGGGCCATGCTTCCAGTTTCTGATTCATTAGGTCTAGAGTAGGGCCCAAGAATTTGCATTTCTAACAACACCTCAAGTGATGCATGATGGGTTGCAGCTGATGGAGATGCCACAGAGTTGCTAGACAGTGATCTCCTCTGCTTTGGCTGCGGCAACACTTGGGCCTCATATGTCAGGTTGCTCACGTGCTAGTCGGATCACCCCCGTGTACCTTATAAATACTGTCACTTTATTTGTGCCATCATGTGGAAAGGTTGACGAGTGCTGATTCCATGGACTTCTGGGTAAGTGTTAGGAAACAAAACAGGACTTGTATTATTGAAAAATAAAGGTAAAACTTTGGACAGGCATCTTCATGCTTTTATCATAGGGTTAATATGTTTACCATATAACAGAGGGTGGAGGAATTTTGTGTATGAGGCAAACGCATCTTGTTCCAAAAATTTATTCCTGATAACAAGAAGACTAAAGAAGAGGCCGGGCATGGTGGCTCATGCCTGCAATCCCAGCACTTTGGGAGGCTGAGGTGGGCAGATCACTTGAGGTCATGAGTTCGAGACCAGCCTCACCAACACGGTGAAAACTGTCTCTACTAAAATACAAAAATGAGCCAGGTGTGCTGGAGGGCACCTGTAGTCCCAGCTACTCGGGAGGCTGAGGCAGGAGAATTGCTTGAACCCGGGAGGTGGAATTGCAGTGAGTCGAGATGAGAGACCAAAAACAATCAAATAGAAAACCTTTCCTTGTAGTGTTTCAATCCACAGAGAACCCGGCTCTGGGAGTGACCCTGCCAGCCTGGCCATAGATGATGAAATCAGAGAGAAATAATGGGCAAAACTGGGCTCATTAGAATTCTACCCAGAAATCTGCACATTGGAACTAAGGGGTAGTTTGATGGGAATATCATTGAATCTATGAATTACTTTGGGCAGTATGGCCATTTTCATGATATTGATTCTTCCTATCTATGAGGATGGAAAGTTTTTCCATTTGTTTGTGTCCTCTCTTATTTCCTTGAGCATTGGTTTGTAGTTCTTGAAGAGGTTCTTCATGTCCCTTGTTACCTGGATTCCTAGGTATTTCATTCTCTTTGTAGCAATGGTGAATGGGAGTTCATTCATGATTTGGCTCTCTGCTTCTCTATTCTTGATAATATAGGGATGTTTGTGATTTTTGCACACTGATTTTGTATCCTGAGACTTTGCTGAATTTACTCATCAGCTTAAGGAGCTTTTGGTCTGAGATGATGGGGTTTTCTAAATACAGGATCACGTCATTTACAAACAGAGACAATTTGACTTCCTCTCTTCCTATTTGAATACTCTTTATTGCTTTCTCTTGCCTGATTTCCCTGGCCAGAACTTCCAATACTATGTTGAATAGGAATGGTAAGAGAGGGCATCCTTGTCTTGTGCCAGTTTTCAAAGGGAATGCTTTCAGCTCTTGCCCATTCAGTATGATACTGGCTGTGGTTTGCCATAAATTAGCCCTTATTATTTTGAGATGTGTTCCATTAATACCGAGTTTATTGAGAGTTTTTAACGAGAATGGATTTTGAATTATATCAAGTCCTTTTCTGCATCATTGAGATACCATTTGACCCAGAAATCCCATTTCTGGGTGTTTACCCAAAGGAATATAAATTATTCTGTTATAAAGATACATGCACACATATGTTTACTGCAGCACTATTCACAATAGCAAAGACATGGAACCAACCCAAATGCCCATCCATGATAGACTAGATAAAGAAAATGTGGTACATATACACCATGGAATACTATGTAGCCATAAAAAGAAATGAGATCATGTCTTCTGCAGGGTCATAGATGAAGCTGGAAGCTATCATCCTCAGCAAACTAACACAGGAACAGAAAACCAAACACCGCATTTTCTCACTCATAAGTGGGAGCTGAACAATGAGAATACATAGTCAAAGGAAGGGGAAAACACACACACCGGGGCCAGCTGGTGGTTGTGAGGGGAGGGAGAGCATCAGGACAAATAGCTATTTGGGGCTTAATACCTAGGTGATGGATTAAAAGGTGCAGCAAACCACCATGGCACACGTTTACCTATGTAACAAACCTGCAGGTTCTGAAGGGGAAAAACACACACTGGGGCCAATCAGTGGTTGCGAAGGGAGGGAGAGCATCAGGACAAATAGCTATCTGGGGCTTAATACATAGGTGATGGATTAACAGGTGCAGCAAACCACCATGGTACACATTTACCTATGTAACAAACCTGCAGGTTCTGCACATGTATCACGAAATTTAAAGTAAAAAGAAAAAAAAAAAGAACTAAGAAGGAGTTGGCGTGGTGGTGGGACAGTCAGAAGGGAGCTTGGGAACTGCTAGAGTCCATACTGCTCTCTCTATGAGGAAGCCAGTTTTTAAGAGAAAAAGAAACCGAAAAGCAGAAAGAAGTAGAGACAAAAGTCAGAGCAAGGACCTCGGCAATGATGGAGATCCTTTCCCAGCTACCTCTGAGGGAAAACCTTATCTCTACTCCCCATGGTATCCTTGTGGATGAAAAGCTATTAGTGGAGCTATTAGTGGTTCCTTGAATTGTTCTAGGTTGTCACTTCCCAGGACATGAGATCCTTTTTATTTGGGGGGTGAAGATTTATCTATCTATCTATCTATCTATCTATCTATCTATCTATCAATCTAATCTACCATCTACCTATATTTCAGGTCTCATATTACAAATGGCACTAGTTTGCTGTCTCAATGTAATTTATATAGTAAAACTGGTTTCTCTTTTATTATATATGTCCTTATAAATATTATCTATATTAACTTTGGAAGTTAATATACATTCCCAAATCCTATCCATGTATGGGAAGACATTATTTCCTTGTCACTAAGGTCCCTTTGTTGTCCCACATGAGAGAGAGAGAGACGATATAAATCAGTAAGTAAAACTCACTGACTTTATTTAAAGAATAGCCTCCTTTCTATGGTGTATATTCAGAATAAAATGGGTTAGCTAGGAAGACTATGGAATTCCTTCCTATTCATGATTGTTTCTCATCTGCTTGGAATGATTTCTACTCAGCTGATGGTCTAAACTTCAGTTCCATTTTTAGGATCGTGCTTCATGGTGGACATTCTTTATATTATCAGGTATCCTCTGTGTTATACATACTTTTGCTAATGTTTCTCTCTCTTAGGATAAAATAATATAGCATTTAAATTAAACCATGGCTTTTTTCTTATGAAAGTCTTTTTTTTTTTTTAGAAAATGTCTTCACCAGTGATTGCTAGGTGTCAAGGATATACTCAATAGTGAAACCAGTCAATGTCTTGCAAGTGATCTCTCATCAGGCTGTCTTCACTAGGTGACACAGCACAGTGATATATTACTGGAATATCAGCTACCATGGCAAGCATTCTAAAGGTGGTACATAGACTGGCACATTTTAAAAAATCATGAACATTTTTTTTTTCAAATTTCAGGTTGATTTAGCAGGTGAAAAGATGCTTTTGATATAGAAGTTTTGAAGACTTTTAGAGTCTTATCAGATCTGCTAGTATACAGGAGGAACAACTCAGCAATGAATCAAAAATATTTTTTTGCCAACACTCTAGTTTCAGTATTATTTTAAAAGTTTACTTTCCTCTGAGATTTAATCTGTAAACATATAGGCAATTTTTAAATTTCCCTGAACTTCCTCTTCTTCTGGAGCTTAATAATGCCCATATTAGTTTATTGTTTATCAATTGCTTCTAATTATGAAGAAACTTATACTATAGTAGTAAGAGTTCAAAGAAATAGAAAAAAATTCTCTTTACACAAGAATAAGCATTAATATTTTGATGTATTACTTTCAACCTTTTGTATTTGAATATTTTTTACACAGTGGAAATCATAGTATATATAATTTTATATAATAATAGTACATATTATTACTTTTTGACTTAATATGGCAACACGAGCATATGTTCTGGTATAGTTCTGTAAACATTATAATGGCTGCATAATTTCCCATGTTATGAACCAAACTGAATTTATATTAATGTTTACCTACTCTGGCCCTATATGTTGTTTCCAGTACTTTTAGAAACATAAATAGCTCTGCAATAAATATATTGTCATAAGGATTCTTTGTTTCTTTTAAATTATTTCTTTCGTATATATGATTAGAAGTATAAAAATAGTATCAATAATTATCAGTATTTGTACTCATAACGCTGCCAAATAGCTTTCATATTGCTCTAAGAGTCAAAAGAAAACGTGGTTACTTTCAGTGCAATGAAAGCTCAATGTTATTAAGTGGATGTAATTCACCAAGATAATTTGATAAAGATTCTGGGTTCTATAATATTATTTTAGAGTCACCATAAAGGAGTTCTTTCTTGTTCCATATTATCAATTTCATTCAATTTATGAAACTCTAATAAAAGCACAGAAAAGTAAATATTTGTATTAGAGATAAAGCACCCAATACAAATTCTACATCAACGTAATATAATTTTCACTATTGTAGCATTTCTCAATTAGTGTTTTTATAGCATTAGTTCCCGTGGCACCTATCTGCCCCAGTTCAAGCCAATCATCCATCTCTAACAACAAGGCAGAGTGAGGGAGAAGAAGAATATAACCTGTCCTTTGAGCAGAGAAAAATTACAGCTCCTGGTAAGAGGTGAGGCTAGCAAGGGATTATTTATCATTTGATTACATGGATCATAATAGTAAAGCTAAAGCTATTGAAATCATTTTCTATTTCACATGTACTCATTATATCCTCCCCTACAGTTAGCCTACTGACTAATGTCATGCATTATCTGATGACAGCCCAAAATTTCCTAAAGAAAATTCTCCAAAGTATCATAATCAACACAAGTTCTTTGAATAGGTATAATAAACAGTAGTTAGAAGGGCCACAATTGTTTTCTAATTTTTTAAAATAGTCTTATTACTTCACTTTTACTTGTTTTGATGTGCTCAAACTTAAAATCACTATTTGATTAGACATAAAAATTTTAATGCATTAGTATTAGTATATATTATCTACAGAAGAGTTTGATTAGATTGTAGATCATGTTCTTAACATTTATAAACCATTCTATATAACGGCAATACTTTCTACAGCTATTATCCTTTTTTCCCCCCAATATGTATATTATTTTACTATCATTTTACGTTTAGAAAAAGAGATGCTCAAGGTGGTGGTATACTTTGTTCAAGGTCATTCATTTAGAATTAGTAGCTCTGGTTTGGTAAACTCAGTTCTTACTGATTTCGGTTTGTGGTCTTTTCAATTGACTAAATTGGCAACTGACTCCTGGCTCTCCACTGAAAATGTGAATAAGTTGACATTTTGAGAAATACTGGGTACTGAATAGGTATGGGTAGAGGAGGAGTTGGCAAAAATGAATGAGGGAACCACAAATCTATGAAAAACATCAGAGATGAATGTGAAGCCTTTGTATGACATTATATTTACTGTTGACAGTCAGAATCTTTTCAGTTCAATATGGTGTCCTTCAGTTCTAATTGCCTGGCGCCTGTTAATTTTTTTCCTAAAATTTTGAGTCTTTAAAAAGAGATATCCCTGTGGTATTTAGGAACCTGGAGAAAGGAGATGTAGAAGTCCAACTGTTGATTTAATGAGGAGGACAAAACACTTCTTGTTCTGCTATTTTTTCTAAAGTTATCTTTTCTCTACCAGTACAGAAATGAATTTTAAAGACTCAAAAGGCAAGGTGGCACACAGTATCTACCATTACACTATGATCTGAACAATAGCATTATCTCCCCTGGGTCCCTCAATTTTGATTGCTAGTCATGTAGTTATATATATATACACACGAAACAGAAATTCAGCTATTCGCTTAGATGTTGTTGTATTGGCTGCTGTCTTCCTGATGCTAATTGCCATCTTTGTCAACAACTTCATTGGCAAACCCAGAACTCATCAAGCACGCAGATTGAACCCATCTCCTGGGCAGCATCTACACTGCCAATTATGAATCAGTACTTATGAATATAAGGAGCAACTGTCTCTGGAGCTGTCAGTCCTTGAACTTTCATGAACATTCACATTTATTCAGTTAAAAAGAAAAAAAAGAGAAGCAAAAGAAAAAAATTTGAAAAGGTCAATCAACTTGCTAGTTTATTCACAGATACTGAAGACATATGCTCAACATGCCATTTCTTTATTGTAATCATGCAAGTTCAGAAAAAAAAAACCAGCAGGCAAACTAAATATCCCATGTTACTTAGGTCATGGTTTCAGATGAAAGTGTTAGTATTTTTTGCAAACAAAAGTATCCCTTCTTATTGATGCCAGTGCTGCTTAGCATTCTGTTACTCTTTGCTACCTTACTTGGGGGATTGATTACTGCTGCTGGGCACCTACACATCATTTTATTTCAGAGCCGTAACTCAGTCATGTTAATTACTCAAGAATCAGATGTGATGGTTTTAACGAGCTAATAATTTAATGAAAACTCAGTATTTCATGGCTCTATGGAAATGCTCTTGTTCACCCAGTGATGCGATATGCAGTGTTGTAAAGTTGTGCTAACACCACAGTGCATTAATAGATCTTTAAAAATAAGGTTTTATGAGTTTTTTTTGGTTTTGTTTCATAACAATCTCCTGTTGATTGCCTAAAAGTTCCTGAGAGCACTGAACTTTGGACTACTTTAAAAATTTGCACCATGTTTTCTTGGCTGCTGGTTCCTAGCCCTCCGTAGATTAGTAGAGAAATTGTTTTACTTTTACTTTTCTTTCAGCATTAATCACAAAAGAGGGATGCCTTCAGGGAAAAGAAAGCATAACTATTCAAATTAAAGTAGTTTATTAAATCACTGTAAAATTTACTTTTATAATAGAAATACCTAAAGGATAAAGCTACGTATAACAAAGAATATAGTATTTTCTCTTTACGTAAGTCTTAGTTGAAAAATTTGTTATGTAAGAATAATTTTTTTACTTTCCTCCTGTTTTAGGTAGCATTTAAAAATCTTTAAAACATGTCACATCACTTTATTTTACGTGTGCTGTGGCGATCATTGCTGGAATATAAATGATGCAAATTCCTTTTTTCATTTGAGAACGATTCCATGGATTTCTGAATCATTAGCCAGATATTTAATCATGATATTTTCTCAGATATTTTAACCTTTTCTGGTAAAACTCAAAGTTGGCTGCCATTTTAGAATTCACAACAGTAAATCAAGTTGGCAATGGCTGTACCTTTCCATATTCAAAGACTTTATGCTTGGCACTATCCACATACTTTTGGGATCCTTACAGAGTGGAGGTTCCTTCAACTGCAAATTAATGCATTCAGCAGAAAACCACTTCTAGACCACACTCACATTTTGATATTTAGAACCTATACTGAAAGCCAAAATAAACATTTGCACTGTAGGGACATGGAAACAGACACAAGGAATTGACTTTTTCATAATAGAAATCTTGTCTGTTCTTATTCTAGGGAATATGGATGTGATAAATTTAGGCAATTAAAAAAATCTAAATAAACTAGATCATTTTGGAAATCCTGTATGCTGTGAAGACAGTGCAGAATTGTGTGATAAAAAGCTGCTGGTGGGGACGGTGGTGGCAGTGGGCAACCATGCTAGGTAGGAGAGTCAGCGAAGACCTGAGACACGATGGCTGAGATTTTAACAACCTGATTGAACTATAAACATTAATGACTAAAATGAGCTATTTTAAAATTAGAATGGGATATATATATATATATATCATATATATATGTTTTGAGCAAATTGAAACGGTGGCGGGTGATCAGAGGCAAGAGCTTTCCATTGACTTTTGAAGCTATAGTGTCTTATTTTCTCACATATGTGAATAATGGCTTTTCATCAAACTTGTTACATGATGATCTGGTGGAAGAAAATTCCAAACAGAGGGAATACCAAATATACAGGACCCTATCTGAGAGATAGCTTGACTCACAACAGGGACGGTTGGAAGGTTAAGCAGAGCCAAATGATATAGGGCTTTGTGGACCACGAACAAGGTTTGGGTTTTATTCTTAGAGTGGTAGGAATCCAATTAAGAATTCTAGGGCTGGGCACGGTTGCTCACGTCTGTAATCCCAGCACTTTGGGAGGCTGAGGCAGGAAGATCACGAGATCAAGAGATCAATACCACCCTGGCCAACGTGGTGAAACGCCATCCCTACTAAAAATACAAAAATTAGCTGGGCGTGGTGGTGCATGCCTGTAGTCCCAGATACTCCAGAGGCTGAGGCAGGAGAATCACTTGAACCTGGGAGGCGGAGATTGCAGTGAGCCAAGATCGCGCTACTGCACTCCAGCCTGGCAACACATTGAGACTCCACCTCAAAATAATAATTAAAAAAAAATATATATGTAAGAATTCTAAAAGAGGGATTGTTCTAATCTGATTTGAATGAAATTGTGGTGGTCAACAAAGAGAAGCTGGGAAAAATTAGGCAGAAGGACAATTAAATGACAGTTACATGCCTTATTTCAAGAAATGCCTATTTGGGTCTTTTGCCCATTTCTTAAATTGAGTTACTTGTTTTCTTGCTATTGAATTGTTTGCATTCCTTATATATTTTGGATATTAATCTCTTATCAGTTATATGGTTTACACACATTTTCTCCCATAGATTTTCTCTTCACTCAGCTGATTGTTTCCTTTGCACAGAAGCTCTTAGTTTGATGCAATCCCATTTGTCTATTTTTGCTTTTGTTGCCTTTAGGGTCATATTCATTGCCCAGACTGAAGGCAAAAAATTTTTCCCCATGTTTTCTTTTAGTAGTATTACAGTTTTGGGTCTTATGTTTAAATCTATAATCAATTTGAATAAATTTTTCTATGTGGTATGAGATAATGGTCCAGTTTTATTCCTCTGCATGTGAATATCTAGTTTTGCCAACACCATTTATTGAAAAGACTGTCCTTTTCTCATTGTGTGTTCTTGGTTTCTTTGTAAGAGAGGAATGGATCATAAATGCATGAATTTATTTCTTGGTTCTCTATTCTGTATTCCACTGGTCTACATGTCTGTGTTTATGCCAGGACTATGCTGTTTTGATTACTATAGCTTTATAGTACATTTTTAAAATCAAGTAGTGTGATGCCTCAAGCTTTGCTCAATATCACTAATCACCAGGGAAATGCAAGTTTTGCATCAGGAAATGTAAAGTTTTGGTGGGGCACAATTTATTCCATAACAGACAATGATCACCTTACCTGCCCAGTGAGAGGGGCTTTGTTTGCAGTCTCCTGTCCATCCTGAAATCTTTCTCATGAACATCCCATGGAAACCTGTGAAAATGAGCTTATGAATATAAAATTGCCTTGTGTTTGGGTCTTTCCGCTATTCCAGATGGACACACTAGTACACACTGAACCTTTAGTGATTTGTTAAAATTTTACTGATTTTTTTTCTTACCCACGTTTGCAGGGATTACTTCTTTTCCTCATGAAATGCCACAGTGGAGGGACTTCATATGCTTCATTTTTCTTTTAAGTCTTGTCCCCTCTGAAATTCAGACTGTTAGGTTGCCTTGCGATCTCAGCTCTCTGATGAGCTTGTAAACACTTAAGATTTTGTATTTTATCCTGTATTTTCTCATTGATTGGATTAATTTTCTTTGCAGGTTTTTACATAGTGATTGGAAGTAAAAACTGCAGTTCTTTGTGTGTAAAGTTAAGCATTTGTCTGTCTTCATCTGTTAGACTCTGTTTCCAGTATTTCAACAAAATCTCATCTGCTTATAAACAAAGATTCATAACACAGATGGTTTCTAGGAATGCTTCTGTTTCTGCTCATGCTCTTAGCAATTCAAGGATGGAGATTCCTATCTCTAGAGTTGCTGGGCATCCTGCTCATTCCATTCTAAACCTGGCTCTATTGAACAAGGAAAATGAAGTGTCTGAGTGGACATAGAGGGAATGGTGGAAGAAATAAAGTGTGGGAAGTAAGAGAAAGAACATGACTTTGTCCCCATTGAAGGCAGCCATTGTGCTGTATGCAGTAGTTGCTGAGTCCTTCATACTGTGGCTCTTACATAGGTCTCCAGCCTCATTTTCTGCCATTCCTGTTTATAAATGCTGTATTGTAGCCATATTGAATTACTCACCATTTCGCAAACATACTTCAAATTATTTGCAAATACGGACTTGTCCTTCTGGAATGCCTTTCTATCTGTGCCCTCCAATTCCCTACTTGGCAAATTCCTACTCGGATTTCAAAAGCTACCTTTTCTTTGTAGTGTTTCTTGAATCTCATGCAGACGTAGTTGCTCCCTCTTACGTTCAGAGATAGTTGTTCTCTGTGATTTCCTAGAAGTCCAATTACATCTTGTTGCACCTGGTGCATTATGCCACATGAAACAGATCATCATCTGCCCAAAATCTTGTGAAGATGTGAGAATGTGAAGCCTGCCAAAGCAAGGCTGATGATCAGCACAGACCCAGATATACTGCAGCAACTCCTAACTTGTTAGTAACCAAATAATGTCTCCTTGAATTGCTTAAAATGCTTGAAGCATGTTTTCTTCTTGAATTACTTAAAGTCTATCCTTTGGTTATGTCCCACTTACAAGGATCAGGACTACGAAGCATAAATCCACTTTGGGGGCAGAAAAATCTGAGAGCCATTGGTTATTGTGTAAAAATACACAAGATCCCCAGGGTTTATCCAAGAGTCCTCAGCTAATCTTAACTTCAAAGGATGGAGTTTGGAGTTAAGGGCAGTAAGAAAGGACAAACTAGTGGATATCTAGCAAATTCCTTTTATTTAAGCTACAGACGCTAGCCTTAGGACCTGTGTGTATGTAACTCCAGACTTTGAGTGACACAGGACCTCCTGCCTCTTCCTGTGCTCTTTAGCAAGCTTTTTTTGTTTGTTTGTTTGTTTACCATGATTTATTTGAAGTTCAATGTCACTAATTCTGTGGTAAATGAACTCTGTGACCACTTTATCCACAACACTTTGAAAGAAGCTATTTGGCTGGTGGAAATATTATACATAGTACTTTCTAGTCATTCATATGTGGCTAGAAAACCTCTAGTCTACCATAAGGTTTCTATTTTCCAAACCAGCCACTCAATTCATCTTTGTCACAAGGAAATGAAAACAGGGTTTGTGCTGGCTTTTGCGTTACGTTGTTTCAAACAATAGATCTGCAAGTGGCTGTGACTGAAGAACTGCAGTACCAAGATGGAGCTGGCTGTTATAAAGTACTGCTGTGCTGTTCATTTTCCCAGATCATGTTTGAGAGTCTTTTTGTTATTTATTATTTAAAAAAATTTTTAAAATTGACCTATTTAGAGATGGGATCTTACTCCATCGGCCAGGCTGAAGTGCACTGGTGTGATCATAGCTCACTGCATCCTTGAACTCCTGGGCTTAAGTAATCGTCTTTCCTCAGCCTTTCAAGTAGCTTATACTATAAGCTTGTATCACCATGCTCAGCTCATGTTTGAGGTTTTATGATTTACTGGGAGTAAATATTCTTTCTATTAACAATAAGAGTGATTACTGTATCTTGAAGAAAACTGATTAGATATTAAGTTTAGTTTTCTTACTCTGGAAATTAAAAGTACTTATTCCTATGGATTAAAAATATTCAACTTTAAAGTTCTATTGCACTTGATTGCAACATGTATTACACGTCTATGAACAGCATGTGCTGGGTCCAATACAACGGGAAGAAAAAAACACTTAGTAAATGTTACCACCAATTTTACATTTTCTGCTTCCTTTTATTTAGTTATTCACCTATGTGAAATTGTGAGTCAACTGCAGAAAGCAGTGTTGCTGCCTTAATCTTCTATTTTAGATGGGGAAACTGTTTGACTATATAGTCACAGAAACAATTGCCCTTAAATAGTTCTGTAAAATTTCAGCTATTATTTATGAGCTTCCTGTATCAAATAAAAACTGGATAGACAGGAAATATGTGAAATCCTCAGAGAGATAATGAAGAATGATGTGATCACCTCAAATTGCTTGGAAAAGGAAATAGCAAAATAACTAACTAACTGCATTCAGTAATACAGTGGCTTCTGGAAGATTTAGAATTGAAAAGATGTGATGAGGATAAGCTGTATATTCCAAAGAAAGTGACCTGACCATTTTTGGTCCACATGCTCTTTATTTCTACCTCCTCATAAACAGCCCCATCAGGCATGAAGAACAAACTAGAGATGAAGGATGCTTTATCTTTAGCAGTGATTCGTTCACTTCCTCATTCTTTCTTTTCACCTGTAGGATAATAAGAGTTAGAGACCAAAATTGTTTTGGATGATAGAAAGTGATGCGCGAGCGAGTGTGTGTGTGTGTGCGCCTGTGTGCTCACTAATGAAGGAGTGTTTCTTAAACTAGGCCCGTTTACTTCAGCTTGGCCGGAATTTATTATGAAACGCATGTAAATACTTTCACTGAGTGGTTCATGAGTTTCTTTCTCTTCCACATCCTGTGTGCCTCCTGGTTCATAAATATTGACATAGTCCTCACACAACTTCTAAAGTGTGTCTATTTAACACTTGTAAACCAAAAAGTGTCTGAGGCAGGTCTCCATCGATTTAGAAGAAGGAAGAAAGATGGGGTGGAGAGGGTAGGCAATGAGGCAAGTGTTTGTATTGTTGGGAGGCTTTGATTAATGCTGAGTGAATCTGCATTTTATGTGTGAAAAGAGGGGTAGAAGAAAAGTCAGTTACGCCTTTGTCTTGTGCTCATAAATCTACATGTTACAAAAGATAAAGTAAACGTAAAAAGACTGAGTAGAGGAAGAAGTAAATTATGCATTTGTCTTGGGGCGGGCAGAGGCTGATTCCTAGTCATGTCCTTGTTCCATACCTGTGAAGATAAGCTGGTAACTTACAATGTCAGGGTGACATTCAACAGAACTCTGTTTTAGGGCTAGTTATAGAGAAGATGTGTATTCTGAAAGATTCGGAGGCCCACATGGAATTTACTTGTGAGCAATTTGTGAGCGAGGCTATCTGAGGAGATATGTGACCTTTTATCATTGCTGTAAACTACTTAAGTATGAGGCTATGACATAGCGTAGTGAAATTGCAGCTATCTGCTTGGGAACAAAAGGCAGGCAGATTTTTGCGGGACTCACTTCCCAAGCTTAACTTTCCCTTTGGCATAGTGGGTTTGGGATCCTGAGGCTCTATTTTCTTAAGCACAATGGATGAAAGGCTTCAGTGACACCCAGAGAAGATATGCCCTGTTGTCCTGCCTATTCACCATGGCTTCTCGTAAGCTCACCCCTGTGACAAAATGCTTTTTCCTTGCTCTTCTCCACAGCACCCAATTGTCTTTTGCTGTTTGTGTTACTGTTACTATACTTCATGCTTTCTGCCACTATCCAAATTCCCAAAGTCCCTGTACCACCACCACTCTCCTACAAAAGCTTATCTAGCATGAGTTATCTCTTGTTCTGCTCCAGTCAACTGCTTATTTGTTTTTCAGAATGGAGAAATGTGACTTTTTAGAACATGCTCCAGGAAGCCTCTGGAATTCACACAGCCCTGCCTTTTAGCTACAAGGGAGTCCATTTATACTATCGTGGCTCCAAAGCTACCAAGTTCTGTTTTTTACCTCACTTTCCAGAAGGGAGTAAATTTGGTCCCTAAATCCTTGCTTGGAAGTGTATTTCCTCTTCCCTCCTGCAGTCCCTACACTGTTTGTCTTTAAGAAGCTTTTAAATATATGCATAACTTCTGAGGATGTAACAACCCAAACAAACATGCTAGGCATGCTGTCCCAAAGGAAAAAGTGGGAACCAGGCACACTGGGACAACACAGGCTGCTTGTCTTCCCAGGAAACCTGTTAAGAAAGACCTTATTCTGTCTGCATTACTTTTTCTTGCCAATAAAATGGGACTAAAAACATGCTCATAAATTAGTTATGGCAGATAAATATGAAAATACATGCAGAACCATTAATATGGTACCTGGCACATGGTAGTATTTCGTCAATGTTTAATTTTTTTATTTTCTTGTCTCTCCTCTCCACCTCCTGTAGCCCACCTGAATTGAGCTCAAAATAGAACATGTACAAGTAATTTTAACATAGCTGACAGAAGGAAGCCTTCATGTCTGATAAAAGACTATGGAACCACACTTGTGTCACCTTTTTCTAAATATATTCTGGTAATTATTGCTATGACATCTGCCCCAAGTAGGTTAATTGCTCTGATTTTTGAAAAGAAAAAAATGTACATACATTTAAAAAAATTATATACGAGCAATTATTGCAAAGAGATTCATTTAAAGCACTTCTGAACAGTGTCTAGAAAACTAGAGATTGGCTTAGTTTTGCCTTTCTTTTTGGATGTATATGAGAACTGACTGGAAACCTTTGCTATAACCAAAGTTTAATTCTCTCATGATATTAATATTTTTATTTTCTCTACTATTTATTGAGAAAAATCTGGTGTAAGTTAGAAAACTAGTTGCGATCGGGAAGTACTTCAGTTGGGGATGTTATAAATTGTCAAAAATGAACTTCCTAATGTGATTACAAGCTACCCCTCTTTGGCCCTATTACATCTGATAATTGAACTGTCACCTCTGTGTTTTATTTATTATAATAATGGGTGCAGTTGGGAAACCTAAGCAAAATGTGGAAAATAAGGTTTGGGCTTGTTAGGAAGGCAGTTGTGATATGCCTTGGATTTGAGTATTTGGGAGATGTCAGTCAAAATCTGAGATCTGTTTAAGCAGACAGCTGAATTTTGACAGGAATGATAACCCATTTACCAACTCTGCAGTAAAGAAACCAATTCTTTACTTCTAGATACTTTTAAAAAATACATTCAAAACTTGTTTTCTCCTTTCTCTTCTTCCTCCCCCTCCTCCTCTTCATTTGTCCTTTTTGCTCTAGAAGTATATGAGGAAGGCTACTTAGTAAAGGCCTACACATCTTTGCTTTCATCCTCAGTTGGAGAATCTAAATTTTATTTGGGGATGTAACGTACCCATCTAAAGTATTTCATTTTCTAGTAGTTCTGATTAACAAGGTGTTAACAAATGCATTGTGTGGACTTTCTGGGAATAATGGTAAAGAGAAGCTGACTCAACTGCTTCCTGGATGGTGAACAAAATGACAGAACTTTTGGCAGCTGACTTGGACTATGAGTTTACCCTGATGACAGAAGCCACAGGCTCAGAGGTAGAACAGAGATAAGGAAAGAGCATGAGTCTGAGGATCCTGGAACTTCCACCGTCTTGACTGCATCCTCCAGATTCACTTTGCCCATGAGAAAAATAAAACTCTATTTTGTTTAAGCCTTGTTTATCCATTTATTTTTCTTTTTCTATAATATGGATTGCACCAAATTCCAAAAGATACAAGCAGCTTTTGTGTTATTTCATGGAATATTGTACTTTAGTTTTGTTGGGGGTTTTCATCCTCAAACCAACCAACCAACCCAAAAACCCACCACTAAGCATACATATAAACAACAAAAAAACAAAATAAGAACTGTGGAGGTCAATTAAGTTTGTTAATCCACTCAATCTAATGCACACATGGCCAATGTGAACACCCAGAGTCTACAGGAGCACATTAAAACTACAGCAATGACAAAACTAGTTCTCCTTCTAGCAAAGGGTGGTTTATGGTTGTTGCAATCTGTGAGAGTGTGATTCTTTAAACAGGCATGTCTGAATCTGGCTGAACTAAGTGACTCAAAAACAGTAAGAAGAAAGAATACAAAATGCATGTGCAAAAGTTTTTATATAAAGTCAATTTTTGATAGTTTTGTTTCATGAATAGGATAAGTGATGAAAGTATCCTTTTTTATGAAGGTCGACTGTGGAAATGTAGATCCACTGAATGGGTTTGAAAATTTTTGTATTTTACATTTTAAAATTTAACTATGAAACACTTTTGTGTATTTTCATCTTGTAGAATTTAATCCTTTTTCAGATAAAAAATGTTTTCACATGTGAAATTATTTTAACATTCCTATAAATGATATGACAATCATGAAGATAGATATTTGAAACTACAGAGAACAGTTAAATTCAGTCTAACTGAATATAAAACTCAGTATGCATAAATCTAAATTTACACAAAGGAGGAAGGGATTGTTTACTTCAGCTAGGATTTTCTTAGTTTACCTGTTTTCCCTATAGTTTTGCTCCAAGAAGTAGCCTAACGGTCAATTCAAAATATATTTTAATTGATACAACATATGTTTTAGACATATTTTGTAAACATAAAGCAAGGTATACCAAAGTCCACATATGAACTGTCAACTGTAAAAGACCTTGGCTTATATTAAGTGCTTGGCATGGATGCAAGGCTATGGAAACTGGCTGTGCAGAGATAAATAGACACAACTTTCTTTAATACTATGTAGGACTGATGGTGAGAGTTGCAGCTGCCAGTGATATACCAAATACATTTGCTGTGGCCAACAGCACAAAACAAAGCTGCTTGATCTGCTGTTGTTTATTATCTTCTTTTCGGTAGTATTCTCGGGTTGCCTTCAAATGTTGAGTTTAGGTCACAAGACTCTGGTCCCTTACGTTGTAATAGCTGAAGTGAAGTACCAACTGATCTCTGTTTCTGCAGCCACAGTCAGAATGATGGACAGCAATTTCTAGATCACATTGCTACAGAGCACCTAGCATGAACGTGGCTGGTTTTGCTGAATGTTGCCTAGATAATACCTTCTTGACCTGCTCTCAGCCTCTGCACTAAAAGTTGTGAAGAGCAGATACAGCTGATTTTTTTAAAATGATTTCAACTTTTATTTTGGATTCAGGAGGTACATGTGTAGATTTGTTACCTGAGTATATTGCGTGATGCTGAGGTTTGGAATATTATTACTCCCGTCACTCAGATACTGAGCATACTGCCCAATAGTTAGTCTTTCAACCGTTGCCTCCCTCCCTCTCACCCACTACAGGAGTTCCCAGTGTCTTTTGTTCCCATTTTTACGTCCATGAGTTCTCCATATTTAACTGCCACTTGTAGGTGAGAAAGTGCAGTATTTGTTTTTCTGTTCCTGTGTTAATTCACTTAGAATAATGGTCACCAGCTGCATTCTTACTGCTGCAAAGGAAACCATTTCCTTCATTTTCTGTTTGCACAGTACTTCATGGTGTATACGTACCACATTTTCTTTATCCAATACACTGTTGATGGGCACCTAGGTTTATTCCATATCACTTGCTATTTTGAACAGCCCTACGATGAATGTATGAGTGTATGCATCTTTTTGGAAGAATGATTTATTTCTCTTCGCGTATATACCCAGTAATGGGATTACTGGGTAGTTCTGTTTTAAGTGCTTTGAGAAATCTCCAAACTGCTTTCCACAGTGTCTTGAACTAATTTACATTCCCAACGACGGTGTTTAAGCATTCCCCTTTCTCTGCAGCCTCTCCAGCATCTGCTTTTTTGACTTTTAAAAAATAGCCATTCTGAATGGTGTGAGATGGTATCGCACTGTGGTTTTGACTTGCATTTCCCTGATGATTAGTAATGTGGACTATTTTTTATGTTTGTTGGCTGTTTGTATGCCTTCTTTTGCGAAGTGTCTGTTCATGTGTTTTGCCAGCTTTTTAATGGAGTTATTTTTTTGATTGTTCAACTGCTTAAATTCCCTTAAGCAATATAGTTTCTGGCTATTAGGGCTTTGTTGGATACATAGTTTGTGAATATTTTCACCCAATCTACAGGCTGTCTCTTTACTCTATTGATAGTTTCTTTTGCTATACGGAAACTCTTTCATTTAATTAAGTCTCATTCGTCAATTTTTGTTTTTATTGAAATTGTTTTTGAGGACTTAGTCATAAATTCTTTCCAAATGCCAATGTCCAGAATAGTGTTTCCTAGGTTTTCTTCTAGGATTCTTAAAGTTTGAGGTCTCACATTTAGATATTTACTCCATCTTGAGTTAATTTTTGTATATGGTGGAAGGTAGGGGTCCAGTTTCATTCTTCTGCATATGGCTAGCCATCTATCCCAATATCATTTATTGTATGGGGAGTCTTTTGCCCATTGTTTATTTTTGTTAGCTTTGTTGAAGATCAGATGGCTGATACAACTGATATGTATCATTAAGTTCCCCATCTTCCTCACTAACAAAATCCTGACTTTGTTCAGTTACCACAAGACCACAGGAAAGATAATCTTACCCACAGCTTGGGATAAATTATAATAAGTGTTGGTGGTGCTTGCCCTAGTTTCTTTGCTGTTTTTTGTTTTGGTTTGGGCGAGTAACCTATATGAGAGCAGCAGTCTTTTGGATGGGATTCCAAACATGATTTTTCTAGCTCTTGATAAGGAGACACTAAAGAGTTGTGCTTTTCCCCCTCTCTCTCACTTTCCCCAGGTATAATGAGTCTAGATCTAAATTCACGAGCTTCTTCAGACCTCTTGCAACAATGAAGGAAGACAAACAATCTGAGGACAAAGAGAAAACACTGAGGAAGATAAAGGAAAGAAAGGAAATAACCTGGTTCTTTGATGACTTTGTTCTTGATTGTAACTCACCTGCAGCCACCCCAGCTATAGACATTTGTTGTGACAGACAAGCATTTCCTTATTTTTAGAGCCAGTTTGAGATGGCCAAAGGCATATATAAATGCAAATGTAAATTATAATAAATTATAATGATATATGAAATGCAATGTATAATGTTATATTTATAATGCTATGATTAGATAGCAGAATTTTAGGGTTTGTATTAGTCAGGATTCTCCAGAGAAACAGAGTCAGTGGGCAGCACGGGGAGAGATAAGATTTATTAGGAAGAGTTGGCTCATATGATTATAAAGGCTGAGAAATCCCATGGTCTGCCATCTGCAAGCTGGAGACACAGGAAAGCGAGTAGCATAAATCAATCAGAGTCCAAAGGCCTGAGAACCAGTGCAGCTGATTGTGTAAATACTAGTGAGAGGACCTAAAAAGATGAGAGAAAATGTCCTAGCTCAAGCAGGCCGACCAGAAGCAAAAGGAGGGAATTTCTTCTTCCTCTCTCTTTTGTTCTATTCAGGCCCTCAATAGATTTGATGATGCCCAGCCACAGTGGGGAGGGCAATCTACTTTACTGAGTCCACCAGTTGAAACGCCAGTCTCATCCAGAAGCATCCTCACAGACACACCTGGAAATAATGCTTAATCTGGACACCCCATGGCTAGGCAAATTGACACATAAAATTAATCATAATAAGGTTGAAACAGATCTGTCAATCTAAGGAAAAATAAAATATTAACATAAAATGGGTACAGGTTGATGATTTTATTTTTCTGTGGCACAGAGCTACTTTACTAGCAACATTACCATAAAGAAATGCAGGCCAGGCACGGTGGCTCATGCCTGTAATCCCAGCACTTTGGGAGGTCAACGTGGGCAGATCCCTTGAGCCCAGGAGTTTGAGATCAGCCTGGTCAACATGGCAGTACCCTGTCTCTACAAAAATACAAAAAAATTAGCAGGGCATGGTGGTGCATGCCTCTGGTCTCAACTACTCAAGAGGCTGAGGTGGGAGGATCGCTTAAGCCCCAGAGGCAGAGGTTGTAGTGAGCCCAGATTGCACCATGTCACTCCAGCATGGGTGAAGAGTAAGACTCTGTCTCAAAAATAAACTAAACTAAAATAAAATAAAATAAGGAAAAGGAAATGCAAGTGGTTGAAGCGGTTAATGATTCCATAAGATTCTTGATGAGATAATATTTGAAATGCCTAGGTTTCTTCTAAAGCTTTCCAGAAGCACATTTTAAACTTGAACACAACTAGAAGAAAAAAAAAGAAATAGAGAAAATTTGGGGATATAAATCTCTAGTCAGGCCAGAAGGAGAGAGTGTATGGACTAAGCAAATTTACTGGCCCACCTTTAAGAACATTTTTCTTAATGTTGCTGAAACTCTCAAGTCTTGGGAAAGTGCCCTACATCAATAAACTCCCAACTAACTTTATATTCCACCTCTTCTCTGGTCCAACACCCTGGAGATCCACTCCCACACGTGTTGCCCTGGTTCCTCCCAGTACATATTTGCTGGATCTTCAATTCTTTCAGTGAAGGGGTGACTTCATCTCATATCAGAGACAGTGTTTTTGCTTTTGGCCTAAGCTGAGACCTGACCCTATTTATTGGCCTGTATGCAATGAGGGAAGGTGGAGCCAGTTCTGGAGAAGGACATACATTGTCTTATAAGGACCTTGAATGAGGTCCTTGCAAGTTGTCCTGACATGGCTAAGCTGGTTTTCTGCAGCAAGAGAGAAGGGAGTGCTTCCGCTAGCCAGGTCATCAAGGAGATATGTGGTTTCACAGTATTCAGGCACAATCACATAAGCTTACCAATTCTCAGGATCCTATTCTTTCTCTATCAATACTCCAACTTTAGAACAGGAGGCCTGTCAGCTTTGTATGTAGTATCCATTGCAGCTCTGCCACTCTTTCAGTTAATCCCTGGGCCAGATATTTTGCATGAAACAACTAATGCTGTGAAAGATGAGTCTTTAAATGCTATAAAGGAGGCCTCTGGCATTCACAACATGTCCTGAGTTGATGGTTGACATATCCCAGCCTAACACTTTTTTTCTGAAAGGATTCCAAGACAGATAGGAAAAAACTTGCCAATAAACAATCTGTATAATTTCTATTGCCTTCATCCTGTCCATGTACTTAGAGGTACTGAATAACCCAGCGCTTGTTCTTCTCTCTGTACTTTATCCCAGTCCATTTGATGTCAGGTAATTAGTAACTGTGAGGCTACATACATCATGCCAGAATCCTTGCTACCCCACTCTTCAGCACTGCCATCTTTGCCATCTGATGTCAGTGATCCAAATTCAGAATTCAATCCCAGAGTTCTACTTTCTATGATAACTTCTGGCCCCAAATTTGTATGAATTTCCCCCACAGCAGAGTCTGAGACAGTTAATTGGGTAAGGGTTATTTATTTTGGACATAATTCTAGGAAGCAGGAATGAGGGGACAAAAGAGCCAATACAAGGGGCATTATGTAGGTTGCTGCTGAGGGGAATGGGGATTGGATTATGTTAACACCTCCTAAACACAGTACAGAATGTCTCCCTGAATTTTTCTCCCAAAGGAAAGCAGGTAGGGGCAACGGTCCACCAGCACTTGTGTAACATTCTTAAGGACTTCTCCTGCAGATGTGAGTCCCCTGTAATCCTGTACTTGTATGTGGGCAAAGAGGATTCCTGAAACTTCAGAGAAGGTAGAGAGATGCATAGCACTCTTGAGACCAAACACTGTCAATGCAAAGTGACAATTGTAGATAAAATGTGAAAAGAGCAGAGGGAGTGTGACATGGTACTGTATTAGTCTGTTCTCATGCTGCTAATAAAGACATATCCAAGACTAGGTAATTTATAAAAGGAAGAGGTTTAATTGACTCACTGTTCCACATGGCTGGGGAGGCCTCACAATCAGAGTGGAAGGTGAATGAGGAGCAAAGTCACGTCTTACATGGAGGCAGGAAAGAGAGAGCATGTGCAGGGGAACTCCCCTTAATAAAACCATCAGATCTCATAAGACTTATTCACTATCACTAGAACAGCATTGGAAAGACCCACCTCCATGATTCAATTACCTTCCACTGGGTACCTCCCAGTGTGGGAATTATGGGAGCTACAATTCAAGATGAGATTTGGGTGGGGACACAGTCAAACTATATCAGGTACCCAAGGATCAGCTGTAACTGATATCTATAGGTGACTGCTACAGATTAATAGATGTATAACACAGCAACGGCTGATTATCTGTTTTTGTGGATTGTTGGCTATTGAAGCTCAAAGTATTCAATTTGAGTACGCTAATAAAATATCTAAAGAGAAAGCTCTCATTAATGCAAATGTGTAAATCAAAACATACTAAACTAAGGCACATCATTCACTTTTTTCTCACAATATTTTTCCCATATAAATTTCCTGTCTTAGTCAATTTGTGTTGCTATAACAAAATACCACAGACTAGGTAATTTATAAGCAATAGACATTTATTGCACATGGTTTTGAAGACTGCAGACTCCAAGATCAAGGCACTGGCAGGAACAGAAAGGCAAGAGAGGAAAACTCAACCAGTTCCCTGCAGCACTTTTATAAGGCACTAATCCATTCATGAGGGCACAGCCCTCATGACATAATCCTTTCCCCAAAGTGCCGCCTCTTATTACCACCATGATAGAGACTGAGTTTGAATACATGAATTTTGGGGGACATTCAGACCATAACATCTTTATTTCATTACTTTTGTAATCTCAATCATGATTATTTCAACTTAGGAACACTGCAATAACATTTCTTTTTAAACTTTTTATTTTGAAATAATTGCAGATGCAAAGGAAGTTGTAAAACAGTGTTGTTCTATGTACTCCTCCCCCGGCTTCCCCCAATGCCATACAATTTTAATTCTATCTCCATTTCAACTTTCCAACATGCACATATAGAGCTACCAGATTAATCTTTCAAAAGCCTACATTTAATCATGTCACTCTTAACCGATATACAATTTCTTCACGTAACCTGTTGTTCTGCATTTAAGACTACTTCTTCACCAATTCTATAGGTTTAGCTCCTCTTTTGGTTTCACCCATTCATCAAATATTTATTAAAACCTTATGGGGTGTTTGAAATACAGCAGTAAGCAAGACTGGCAATAAAGTGTTTCTTCTAGTTGGATTGGAAGACGTATTTTTTAGCACTGTGTGGGACACAGCATCACCTTAACACCCAGCTGCTTCAATCTCTCAGAAAGCACAGCTGGCAATCAGTACCTGACCATGGCCCTGCACGGTTGGACTCACACTCAACTGCTAGTGAGTAAGAAGAACAAAAATCTTATAATCTGCAGAGCCTCTACATCTTAGAGCTATAGAAAAACAATAGAGAATAACTGAAAGGGATATAATAGTTTCCAACTTCTGACTAATGGTTTACTCTGTGATTACAATTTGAATGCTAGCTCAGCAGGGTGATTCATTTGAGAAAGCTCTGCCCTGATACCTTGCTCTTCCCTGGGTGGCCCTTCATCCTTAAAATCTCTGTGTTCCAAGAGTAAACTCTTTTTGTGCATTTGTTGGCAGAAAAAGGAAATTTCAGGGTAGACAAAGTGCCCAGAAGGAAATCTCTAAAGAGGCTTTTGTTTTTGAAGGGCTTAGACTTACATAAGTGATTAAACTAAGCTTATCTAAATGCAGACATTTAGTGTGGGGAGGGATGCTGAAAGGATGGCATTGGAGCCTCCCTAACTGGGAGGAGGATAACAGATTTTCCAATATCACAGTGAGTTGTACCTGCCCAAACAGTTCCTCTGAAGGGCTGGGTTCTGGATGGGGATGCCTGCTTGGTGGCTTGTGAATACTGAACACTGAGCTCTGTAGCTTTGCCCTGGCACCTCCTGTATTCAAACTTGGCCCACTGGAGAAAGCTTCCAGTATTGTTGCTGGCATTGGCTGGACTACAAGGATTCAAACAGGGATCTTAACACTGGCAACCAGAACCTGTCCTATTTCTCAGTATGTTTTAAAATACGAGGCAAATCCTAGGGTTCTTATATAATAAAAGAAGTGGGAACAGAGCTTTGAGAACTGTCTAGTACTGAAAATTTCACCAACTTAGATATTTGGAGACTTTGGCCAATATTTTTAAAAAATGATATTATCTGTAGTCAAAGTGCCATGGAGCAATATATTTCTGTTACATAATAGCTTTAAAGGGGATTAATTTAACCAAAAATTTCTCAGTGCTGTAGAGGTATCTGGCTCCATACATTCATTTTCATTCTATTTTAATAAAATAAAGCCAGCCAAATAAATCGCTCTCTCGTTGATATTAAGCTCCTTTCCCATTCATATGTCGGAAAACCAATATTGCCTGGTAGAATGCAATGCATTGACTTATGAAGTGTTAGCATACTTTGCTGCAAAGAAATTCTTATCGTGTGAATTCTGGCATTTGAAGTAACTAAGACACATAGTATAATCGCTTGAAGCCGAAGAAGGCAAATCTTTTCTGCAGCTGGCTTGTGGGAAGTGGACTACAGCAGACTACAACATGCTATTATTTCTCTTATTTTAAAAACAGCCACAACAATTTTCTCTTTCTACTCTACCTTGTGCTGTTTTGCTCCTTTGCTTTATACAGAAGCAACTCAAGAAAACTGTCTGTCATTCGTGTCTTTTCTAACTCTCATGCCCACATCACTATAACCAAATTCCTCCTATCAACGTCATAGATTTCGTTTTTGCTAAAGCAAATAACCAGTTCACTATCCCTATCTTTCTTTTTTTTTTTCTTTTTTTTATTATTATTATACTTTAAGTTTTAGGGTACATGTGCACAATGTGCAGGTTTGTTACATATCAAAACGTGTGCCATGTTGGTGTGCTGCACCCATTAACTCGTCATTTAGCATTAGGTATATCTCCCAGTGCTATCTCTCCCCCCTCCCCCCACCCCACAACAGTCCCTGGTGTGTGATGTTCCCCTTCCTGTGTCCAGGTGTTCTCATCGTTCAATTCCCACCTATGACTGAGAACATGTGGTGTTTGGTTTTTTGTCCTTGCGATAGTTTGCTGAGAATGATGGTTTCCAGCTTCATCCATGTCCCTACAAAGGACATGAACTCATCATTTTTTATGGCTGCATAGTATTCCTGGTGCATATGTGCCACATTTTCTTAATCCAGTCTATCATTGTTGGACATTTGGGTTGGTTCCAAGTCTTTGCTATTATGAATAGTGCCACAATAAACATATGTGTGCATGTATCTTTATAGCAGCATGATTTATAATCCTTTGGGTATATACCCAGTAATGGGATGGCTGGGTCAAATGGTATTTCTAGTTCTAGATCCCTGAGGAATCGCCACACTGACTTCCACAATGGTTGAACCAATTTACAGTTCCACCAACAGTGTAAAAGTGTTCCTATTTCTCTACATCCGCTCCAGCACCTGTTGTTTCCTGACTTTTTAATGATCGCCATTCTAACTGGTGTGAGATGGTATCTCATTGTGGTTTTGATTTGCATTTCTCTGATGGCCAGTGATGATGAGCATTTTTTCATGTGTTTTTTGGCTGCATAAATGTCTTCTTTTGAGAAGTGTCTGTTCATATCCTTCGCCCACTTTTTGATGGGGTTGTTTGTTTCCTTCTTGTAAATTTGTTTGAGTTCATTGTAGATTCTGGATATTAGCCCTTTGTCAGATGAGTAGGTTGCAAAAATTTTCTCCCATTCTGTAGGTTGCCTGTTCACTCTGATGGTAGTATCTTTTGCTGTGCAGAAGCTCTTTAGTTTAATTAGATCCCATTTGTCAATTTTGGCTTTTCTTGCCATTGCTTTTGGTGTTTTAGACATGAAGTCCTTGCCCATGCCTATGTCCTGAATGGTATTGCCTAGGTTTTCTTCTAGGGTTTTTATGGTTTTAGGTCTAACGTTTAAGTCTTTAATCCATCTTGAATTAATTTTTGTATAAGGTGTAAGGAAGGGATCCAGTTTCAGCTTTCTACATATGGCTAGCCTGTTTTCCCAGCACCATTTATTAAATAGGGAATCCTTTCCCCATGGCTTGTTTTTCTCAGGTTTGTCAAAGATCAGATAGTTGTAGATATGCAGCATTATTTCTGAGGGCTCTGTTCTGTTCCATTGGTCTATATCTCTGTTTTGGTACCAGTACCATGCTGTTTTGGTTACTGTAGCCTTGTAGTATAGTTTGAAGTCAGGTAGCATGATGCCTCCAGCTTTGTTCTTTTGGCTTAGGATTGACTTGGCAATGCGGGCTCTTTTTTGGTTCCATATGAACTTTAAAGTAGTTTTTTCCAATTCTGTGAAGAAAGTCATTGGTAGCTTGATGGGGATGGCATTGAATGTATAAATTACTTTGGGCAGTATGGCCATTTTCACGATATTGATTCTTCCTACCCATGAGCATGGAATGTTCTTCCATTTGTTTGTATCCTCTTTTATTTCATTGAGCAGTGGTTTGTAGTTCTCCTTGAAGAGGTCCTTCACATCCCTCGTAAGTTGGATTCCTAGGTATTTTATTCTCTTTGAAGCAATTGTGAATGGGAGTTCACTCATGATTTGGCTCTCTGTTTGTCTGTTATTGGTGTATAAGAACGCTTGTGACTTTTGCACATTGATTTTGTATCCTGGGACTTTGCTCAAGTTGCTTATCAGCTTAAGGAGATTTTGGGCTGAGAAGATGGGGTTTCCTAGATATACAATCATGTCATCTGCAAACAGGGACAATTTGACTTCCTCTTTTCCTAATTGAATGCCCTTTATTTCCTTCTCCTACCTGATTGCCCTGGCCAGAACTTCCAACACTATGTTGAATAGGAGTGGTGAGAGAGGGCATCCCTGTCTTGTGCCACTTTTCAATGGGAATGCTTCCAGTTTTTGTCCATTCAGTATGATATTGGCTGTGGGTTTGTCATAGATAGCTCTTATTATTTTGACATACATCCCATGAATACCTAATTTATTGAGAGTTTTTAGCATGAGGGGCTGTTGAATTTTGTCAAAGGCCTTTTCTGCATCTATTGAGATAATCATGTGGTTTTTGTCTTTGGTTCTGTTTATATGCTGGATTATGTTTATTGATTTTTGTATGTTGAACCAGTCTTGCTTCCCAGGGATGAAACCCACTTGATCATGGTGGATAAGCTTTTTGATATATTGCTGGATTTGGTTTGCCAGTATTTTATTGAGGATTTTTGCATCAATGTTCATAAATGATATTGGTCTAAAATTCTCTTTTTTTTGTTGTGTCTCTGCCAGGATTTGGTATCAGGATGATGCTGGCCTCATAAAATGAGTTAGGGAGGATTCCCTCTTTTTCTATTGAGTGGAATAGTTTCAGAAGGAATGGTACCAGCTCCTCCTTGTAACTCTGGTAGAATTCAGCTGTGAATCCATCTGGTCCTGGACTTTTTTTGGTTGGTAAGCTATTAATTATTGCCTCAATTTCAGAGCCTGTTACTGGTCTATTCAGAGATTCAACTTCTTCCTGGTTTATTCTTGGAGGGTGTATGTGTCAAGGAATCTATCCATTTCCTCTAGATTTTCTAGTTTATTTGTGTAGAGGTGTTTATAGTATTCTCTGATGGTAGTTTGTATTTCTGTGGGATCGGTGGTGATATCCGCTTTGTAATTTTGTATTGCGTCTATTTGATTCTTCTCTCTTTTTTTCTTTATTAGTCTTGCTAGTGGTCTATCAATTTTGTTGATCTTTTCAGAAAACCAGCTCCTGGATTCATTGATTTTTCGAAGGGTTTTTTGTGTCTCTATTTCCTTCAGTTCTGCTCTGATCTTAGCTATTTCTTGCCTTCTGCTAGCTTTTGAATGTGTTTGGTCTTGCTTCTCTAGTTCTTTTAATTGTGATGTTAGGGTGTTAATTTTAGATCTTTCCTGCTTTCTTTTGTGGGCATTTAGTGCTATAAATTTCCCTCTACACACTGCTTTGAATGTGTCCCAGAGATTCTGGTATGTTGTGTCTTTGTTCTCATTGGTTTCAAAGAACATCTTTATTTCTGCCTTCATTTCATTACGCACCCAGTAGTCATTCAGGAGCCAAGATGGCCGAATAGGAACAGCTCCAGTCTATAGTTCCCAGCATGAGCGACGCAGAAGACGGGTGATTTCTGCATTTCCAACTGAGGTACCGGGTTCATCTCACTGGGGAGTGCCGGACAGTGGGTACAGGACAGTGGGTGCAGCACACTGTGCCTGAGCCAAAGCAGGGCGAGGCATCACCTCACCCAGGAAGTGCAAGGGGTCAGGGAATTCCCTTTCCTAGTCAAAGAAAGGGGTGACAGACAGCACCTGGAAAATCAGGTCACTCCCACCCTAATACTGTGCTTTTCCAATGGGCTTAACGAACGGCACACCAGGAGATTATATCCCACACATGGCTCAGAAGGTCCTACGCCCACGGAGCCTTGCTCATTGCTAGCACAGCAGTCTGAGATCAAACTGCAAGGTGGCAGTGAGGCTGGGGGTGGGGCGCCCGCCATTGCTCAGGCTTGAGTAGGTAAACAAAGTGCCCGGGAAGCTCGAACTGGGTGGAGCCCACCACAGCGAAAGAAGGCCTGCCTGCCTCTGTAGGCTCCACCTCTGTGGGCAGGGCACAGACAAACAAAAGACAGCAATAACCTCTGCAGACTTAAATGTCCTTGTCTGACAGCTTTGAAGAGAGTAGTGGTTCTCCCAGCACGCAGCTTGAGATCTGAGAATGGGCAGGCTGCCTCCTCAAGTGGGTCTCTGACCCCCGAGTAGCCTAACTGGGAGGCACCCCCTAGTAGGGGCGGACTCACACCTCACACGGCCGGGTACTCCTCTGACACAAAACTTCCAGAGGAACGATCAGGCAGCAGCATTTGTGGTTCACCAATATCCACTGTTCTGCAGCCACTGCTGCTGATAGCCAGGCAAACAGGGTCTGGAGTGGACCTCCAGTAAACTCCAACAAACCTGCAGCTGAGGGTCCTGAATGTTAGAAGGAAAACTAACAAACAGAAAGGACATCCACACCAATGACCCATCTGTACGTCACCATCATCAAAGACCAAAGGTAGATAAAACTACAAAGATGGGGAATAAACAGAGCAGAAAACCCAGAAACTCTAAAAATCAGAGTGCCTCTCCTCCTCCAAAGGAACGCAGCTCCTCACCAGCAACAGAACAAAGCTGGATGGAGAATGACTTTGACGAGTTGAGAGAGGAAGGCTTCAGAAGATCAAACTACTCCGAGCTAAAGGAGGAAGTTCGAACTGATGGCAAAGAAACTGAAAACTTTGAAAAAAAAGTAGATGAATGGATAACTAGAATAACCAATGCAGAGAAGTCCTTAAAGGACCTGATGGAGCTAAAAACCATGGCACGAGGACTACGTGACAAATGCAGAAGCCTCAGTAACCAATGCAATCAACTGGAAGAAAGGGTATCAGCAATGGAAGACAAAATGAATGAAATGAAGCGTGAAGAGAAATTTAGAGAAAAAAGAATAAAAAGAAATGAACAAAGCCTCCAATAAATATGGGACTATGCGAAAAGACCAAATCTTCGTCTAACTGGTGTACCTGAAAGTGATGGGGAGAACGGAACCAAGTTGGAAAACACTCTGCAGATATTATCCAGGAGAACTTCCCCAATCTAGCAAGGCAGGCCAACATTCAAATTCAGGAAATACAGAGAATGACACAAAGATACTCCTTGAGAAGAGCAACTCCAAGACACATAATTGTCAGATTCACCAAAGTTGAAATGAAGGAAAAAGTGTTAAGGGCAGCCAGAGAGAAAGGTCAGGTTACCCACAAAGGGAAGCCCATCAGACTAACAGCGGATCTCTCGGCAGAAACTCTACAAGCCAGAAGAGAGTGGGGGCCAATATTCAACATTCTTAAAGAAAAGAATTTTCAACCCAGAATTTCATATCCAGCCAAACTAAGCTTCATAAGTGAAGGAGAAATAAAATACTTTACAGACAAGCAAATGCGGAGAGATTTTGTCACCACCAGGCCTGCCCTAGAAGAGCTCCTGAAGGAAGCACTAAACATGGAAAGAAACAACCAGTACCACCTGCTGCAAAAACATGCCAAACTGTAAAGACCATCAAGGCTAGGAAGAAACTGCATCAACTAATGAGCAAAATAACCAGCTAACATCATAATGACAGGATCAAATTCACACATAACAATACTAACCTTAAATGTAAATGGGCTAAATGCTCCAATTAAAAGGCACAGACTGGCAAATTGGATAGAGTCAAGACCCATCAGTGTGCGGTATTCAGGAAATCCATCTCACGTGCAGAGACACACATAGGCACAAAACAAAGTGATGGAGGAAGATCTACCAAGCAAGTGGAAAACAAAAAAGGCAGGGGTTGCAATCCTAGTCTCTGATAAAACAGACTTTAAACCAACAAAGATCAAAAGAGACAAAGAAGGCCCTTACATAATGGTAAAGGGATCAATTCAACAAGAAGAACTAACTATCCTAAATATATATCCACCCAATACGGGAGCACCCAGATTCATAAAGCAAGTCCTTAGTGACCTACAAAGAGACTTAGACTCCCACACAATAATAATGGGAGACTTTAACACCCCACTGTCAACATTACACAGATCAACGAGACAGAAAGTTAACAAGGTATCCAGGAATTGAACTCAGCTCTGCACCAAGCGGACCTAAAAGACATCTACAGAACTCTCCACCCCAAATCAACAGAATATACATTCTTTTCAGCACCACACCACACCTATTCCAAAATTGACCACATAGTTGGAAGTAAAGCTCTCCTCAGCAAATGTAAAAGAACAGAAATGATAAAAAACTGTCTCTCAGACCACAGTGCAATCAAAGTAGAACTCAGGATTAAGAAACTCACTCAAATCCCTATCTTTCTTAACTATCAGCAGCATTTAATTCAGATAGTCCCCACTCCTCCCTCTCTCCTCTACTTGACAGACTATCTTCAGTTGAATTTCAGACCCCACCCTTACCTGGTTTTTCTCTTGCTTCTCTGAAACTCCTGTTCAATCTCTGCTGCTACTTTCTCAACACCTAGCCTCTAAATGTTGGAAAGCCCAGGTCTCAGTCCTGGGTCCTTTTCTTGTTTCTACCTACACATGCTTCCTTAGTGATCTCATGCAGTATTATGGTTTTAAATATCATTAAAATGCTGATGATTCCTAATTCTGTCTTCACTCTGGGCCTCTCTCTTGAACTCAAGGTTTTAAGTCCTATTGCCTTCTCAATATCTCCACTGGGATGCCCATTAAGCATCATAAATAATGATGGATTTATTAAAGAAGAAATGAACAAACATCTGTATTGTATGAAGAATCCCAAGTCACAGTCCATGTGGGATATTACAGTTTGTGTGTTGCACAGTTTATTACAAATTTGTTTCCTCCCTTCTCCTCTGACTTTTTTTTTTTTTTTCTTTTTGATACGGAGTCTCGCTCTGTCGCCCAGGCTGGAGTGCAGTGGCGCAGTCTTGGCTCACTGCAAGCTCCGCCTCCCGGGTTCACGCCATTCTCCTGCCTCTGACTTCTAAATAGATGTAGTGGTGACAACAAAGTAAATGCTCAGTAAACTGTGGGATTTAAGTTTTGGATAACGAAGCATTTAATCAGTAAATCAGAAACTTTAGCAAATACTCCAAGTAAGGAAATTTGATTTAGTAACACTTAAGGGAGGATAAAGAATTTATTCATTTGTTCAACACATGTGCGCCAGGCTCTGTTCTAGGTATTGGAGAAATAGCAGGCAATAAGAAAATCTCTAAGTTCATCAAACTTGTGTTGTAGTGTGTGTGTGTGTTAGAGGAGGTAGTTCGAAAGGACAGATAAAAAACAAAACAAATAAATGTACAATAGCCGGATGATGAGAAGGGCTACGAAGAATACCAGTGGAAGGAACGGTGGCTCACGCCTGTAATCCCAGCACTTTGGGAGGCCAAGGCGGGCGGATCACGAGGTCAGGAGATCGAGACCATCCCGGCTAAAACGGTGAAACCCCGTGTCTACTAAAAATACAAAAAATTAGCCGGGCGTAGTGGCGGGCGCCTGTAGTCCCAGCTACTTGGGAGGCTGAGGCAGGAGAATGGCGTGAACCCGGGAGGCGGAGCTTGCAGTGAGCCGAGATCCCGCCACTGCACTCCAGCCTGGGCGACAGAGCGAGACTCCGTCTCAAAAAAAAAAAAAAAAAAAAAAAAAAAAAAAAAAAAAACAGTGGAAGGAATGGGGAATAGCATGAAGTGGCGTAGTATTAAAATAGGATGATCAGAGACCACCTGTGTGGAGCAGTGAAGTTTTAGCAAAGCCTTCAAGAAAGAGAAGGAAAAGATCATGCATATTCCTAGGAAAAGTGTTTTCAAGGCAGAGCATAAGTGAGGCAAATTCTCCAGAGAAACAAACAACAGACTCTTTCACGTGTCTGTAAGGCACAGTGCCTGCTACACAATTCTCAAATGCTGTTAGGCTTTGACTGGTTCCCCTCTCTCTCAACCCTATGCATAGTGGAACAGGGAGATCTTTGCAAAAGTATCCAGTGCATCTGCAAAAGTATAAAAGATATGTGATTTTTGTTTCATTTACATACTAGATTCTCTTTCTTATTCTGTATCCAAAAAAAATTGTTTATCTAGGTAAGAATGGGAACACAAAACGATAGCCAAGCCATCTTAATGGGAGCATCAATCAAAACAGTGTGATATTGTCTGTGGATACACGATGCTGTGGATGAGTATGAACAGAGAAAGGCAGGCTCATTTCAGTTTCTGTGAAAAGCTTAGCAAAAGGTGTTTTCTTGAGGGTAGAACCTTTGTCATACTGTGTTCATGTCCACATATGTGGCACCTGGCTGTGGATTTGAACAGGTTCTTCTCTTCCTTTCTCCTGTGAAGAACAATTTAAATCAACCTAAATCAGACTATTTCAACACATCTTTCCCTCTTCTTACACAAAGCATCCTATTTTCATATCATTTAATTCTGAGGTGCATGCTCTGGCAATTGCTCTTCCAATGTTTAAATCTCATTGCACAGCAAGGCACTGTTTGTTGGTCACTTTGGAGTGTTTGAAGATTACGGCTAAAAAAAACACAATTTTCTATGTTATGTGGCTGAAAAGAAAAGCGTCCTTATCTTTCTGGGAAATTCATTTTCTTAGACAAAGCATCCAACAGAGGGATAAAGGTACAGAGTTGCTTGACAGGCAGTGAGGTTGGTGAAATCACACAAAGCAATCAGTGAATGGAAACATGATCCAGCCCAATAATCCAGTTTCCCGTATTCATAAAGATTGTTAGAAGAGATTGTCTATCCTAGAGAAGGTGGGCTAATTGAAGTGAGTTGAACTAGTTATTTCTATATAAAGCTATTGTTTCTTAAATTCCTGACCTGGCTGTTGCAGATGGTTTTGGGGAGTTCTTTAGTTCTTTCATTTCTTACTTTATCTTGTACCTGAATAAAACAGCCTGCGTATGAATTCTTTGTAGTACTTTGTGCTGCAGGGTTTCAAAAAGCCATAATGAAGCACATTGCTACTAAAATTCTCTTCACATATCATCTTTTGAGTTATTATGTTAAAAAAGCTCTCAGTAGCCTATAGTCAAAATTATTAAAATCCTCTCCATTGTAGAGGTTAAGAAAGTGATAATTAAGACTCTCTGGTAGACCCCTAAATGATAAACAGCATTTTACAACAAATAGGAGGTCAATGTATATTTTAGAGAGTTAACATTGACCATATTGAGTTTACCTAGGCCCTCCAGGCTATATTTTATAATCAACTCCCACTCCCAAATAACAACAAGAAATTTTTTCTTATGTATATGTGTTTTTATGATGAAACCATTGGTTTTATGTACAACTCCTACTGCTTGATTAATACGATTTATTTCATTCAACTTGATAGATTATATTAACAAGGGATGGAGCAGGGGATTGTGTATAGTGCCTGGGCAATAAATCTAGGAACTATTTAAGTTCTATACCCCATGATTAGTAACATTTACCAATGACGCTTAGCTTGCTATGTAAAACACTATAGCATTTTACTTTCATTTGCACACGGGTAAAATGTACAAGAAATCATAGAACTATAGAGATGGAGGGAAAGCCTCTCATCTACCCTCTCTGAAGTTTCACTGAAATGAATGACAATTGACAGATTAAGAGGAGAAAGGGTATACAAATTTATTAACATTCATAAGCATAGAAACTATATAAAATATGAGACTCAGAGCAAAGCTAGATGGTTGAGGCTTATATGCCCTCTTCATGAGGGAGAGGAAGATGGCAGAAATATAGCCAATTTGAAGGATTGTAAATAATTTTAGGGGAACTTAAATAGCCCAAAGAACAGACAGTTGGCTTGGGACAAGTTTCCTCTGAGCTCTGGGGGAGATGGTGGCAAACTGCAAGAAGGTGTGGGGCGGAACTTCACCGTGAGCAAGGTTGTCTTATAATGCCGATAATCTTCCAAGTAATCTCTAGGAGCTACGCTCAGGATAATAAATGAAAGGTCGTCTGGGTGTACTGACGATTTTTAGTGATTAGTCTTTTCTGGTTATTAGATGAAGTTCCTAAGAAGGGACTATTAAGACAATTGCATTTCTAATGTTGGAACTTTCCTTCATTAGATAAGGAAATTTCCTCTTAGTGCTCAGGAAAGAAAGAGGATCAGAGGGGCAGGAGTGCAGGAGAAGGTTAGAGAGAGACCTTAGTTCTGAGACTTATTTTTGAGGCCTTTCAACTTCCTTTAATTCAAAGCAAGAAGAATGCCAAAGTGTCATATTTTGGAATATTATTTTCTGAGCCCCAACAAAGCTTAAATAAGAAGAATACAACAAATCAGGTACAGAAATTATTAAGATAATCACACAGTTCCAGGCTTCCTCCTCATTCTGCCTGCTCAAAGAGTTATGGCTTTGTCTGGTCCTATTTCCTATTGTTTCCTACCTTTCACAGAAAAAGTTGTCAGTATTTTAAACTCTTGTGAGCTAGAATTTGAAGAAGCTGGGGGGTATGGAGGAGCAATACAAAGACAAAAATTCCTGAGGGCAGGATTGAGAAATGCCCTCAAATTCCACCTTTCCTGGTTTAGATTCCATGATCCATCACCCTTCGTTCCTTAAAATCTCTCCATGGTACTGGTTTGACCAAACTCAACTGTAATGAATCCAATCTGTGCACATACTCCCTAAAATGCAACTGTGAACAAAGAAAAATATAGTCATGTTTACCTACCTTATTTTAAGTGTTTATAACTAATCTCCACTTGTGCCTTAACACTGCCCTTCAATCATTGACTTCCCTAGTTAGTAAACACTTCCACTTTCAGACCCTCTCCCCGTTTTCTAGTCATCAACATTCCTTTCATATCCTCATTCTCAGCTGATGAATATGCTTATTTTATTTAAAACTTGAAACAATCAGAAAAAAAACATACTCATCCTTCCTCTACCAAACCTTCCTATTTGTGTATAGACCCAAATAATTTACCCTTCTTTTGGTTATAATAATGAACTCTTCTGATCCTCTCTACATTAATCCCTTCGTTTATGTATAGAATATCATTTGTTATTTCCTACCTAAGGATTTTATTCCTACAAAAATTCTCTCCCCCTCTCTTCTCCCGCTTCTTTACCTCTCCCCACCTCAACATTTCCCTCCACTTTACGATCATTTAAATTGGAATAAGATGAATTATCTTTCATTTTAAAACAAAACATCTGTTAGATCCCACATTTTCAACTCTCTGCTGCCTGATTTCACACCTCCCTTTTACAGAAAAACCTTTGATAATGTTCTTTATTTGCTGTCTCTACACTTCCCCCTTCCATTCTTTCTAGAAACTTTTCCAAGCATGCTGAAACTACTTCAGCCAATGTCACTCAAGCCCTCCAATTTTCCAAAGGCAATGCCAGTTCCTAGTATTGATCATACTTAACTTTCTGCAGCATTTGGCACAGTTAATTTCTTTCTCTCATTCTTGAAATGCTTTCTTAATGTGGCTCCAAGGATACCACACTCTCCATGTTTTGCACCTACCTCTCCAGAATCCTCCAATAGAATCAAAGATTCTATTCCTCAGATTTATTGGAGCTCCCTCCTTTCCGACCTTTAAATGTTGGCATGCCCAGGGTTTATTCTTCCACGTGGCATCTCCAGGTAATCTCCTCAGGTTTTACAGTTCCTTAACATGTGATTCACACTGATAACCCAGATGACTTCATGATGTCTTAGCTCCAGACTAAAAAATCCACCTGCTTAATAAATAGATCTAGTATGATGTCCAATAAGTAATTGCAATTTATATACCTAAAATAGAACTCATGATTTCCCCTCACCCTTGCAAACAACTGCTTTCAAAAGTCTCCAACTCTACTCCACCGTGCTTGAATCTAAGATTTCTTGGAAGTAACTTAGTAGTTTTAACTAAAGGATATTATCAGGATTTCCTTAAGAGTGCATGTGTTTTCCTTTAATGATTTCTTATTTAGAAATATATTGTACTTTCACACTTTGATGAGCTTTAAGGATTCTTTTAATGGTGGATACAACACAGTGACACTCAGAAGAAAGCAACTCTGTTACTTTCATCCTCATGAGAGAGTCACACAGGGAACAGCACCAGGAAACAGGGAACAGCAAACTGGAGCTACTGTGGGGGCTGCTGATGTATGGCAGGTAGTATGGGGTTCCCTAGGTTTCTCTGCATCTTTGTGGACTGGCTAATTTGAATAATTTCCAGGGCTCTGAGCTTCAGGGCATAGGCACTCTCTCTAGCTGTGTAGTAACTGGGACCAGGGAAATTAGGGCAGGTGCTTGGTGGCCCAGAATGTGAGAACTGGATAAGGGGAGTGAGTGGAGTGTGGATTTAATCAGCTGCCCAGGAAGGGGAACTGACAGTCACTAGTCAGGGTCTCAAAACTGGGTCAAGACAAAATTAAAGAGAAGAATAAAAAAAAAACTATATTACACTTGTCTTAGTATTCACACAGACACTAACACATACACAACCCCCCCAATGTATCTATAACTCTATCTACATGTAAAGATTTGTTAATTAATCTCCAATTGATCTTTTCTTTCTTTTCTGTCACCTTTAGGTTGCTATTCCAGTTTGCTTAGTTAAGACACTTCACTACTTTTTCTTTTAGACAGAATACTTGGATGGAGTGCTGTTGTATTTTTCTTTAACCTTGAGATGTAATAGAATCTTAGCTGGGTCTACAATTCATAAACTGCACCATTTTCCTCACAGTGGTTGGTAGCTGCTCTTTCACTGTCTTCAGGCTTCCACTGTTTCAGATGAGGATTCTGACTTTTTTTTTTTCCTTTGCTTTTTCTACCTTGAATCTTGTCATATTTTTCCCCTTCCTTAGAATTCAGGAGGTTTACAGAATGTCCTAGGTGTCTATGTTATTTCTTATCAGTCTGACCTGGACCTCACAGAAACCATTTAATCTGGGATATGAGCTTTTTCATTGAGAAAAAAATAAATTCTATTATTTTATTTTCATTGGCAATCCTCCATCTGTCTTTTTCTCTTACTGGTACATCTTTTACTATCTCCTGTTATATCCTCCAAGATTCATTTTCCCCCCCTTATTGTTTGTATTTCTTTGTAATTGTTTTTCTGTGCTTTGTGATTTTTTTTGTTGTTGTTCTTGATCTTCTAGGACACACACATGAGTAGTAAACATCCTCTCCTTCAAATCATTCACAGAATTGTTTGGTTGAGAAATCGTGTTGTTAATCACCACATATTCTTTATCTGGGTATGAGCCACACTTGATTCTCCTCTAAAATGTTTATTATTTTTAATTGAATTCTCTATATCCCTCAGTGGGTTTACTTCTCTGGATATGCATTCTGATTTTTCTGGTCACTCTTTGAATGTAGGTAGCTTTTAGATAGGTTGTTATTTTCCTTCTGGGAATGTTGAGGTTCAGGCCAAATGGAGGAGTCTCAAAAGTGGTAGAAGTCAAGGCTGGCTGTACCCATAGACTGAGAGTATAGGAAGAAATGTTTTGCCATGCCCTGCAAAGGTCCCCATGGTAAGTCACAAGGAGTGTGGATTTCCTTATACTTCCAGCTTTAGGGGAAAACTGCTTGACACTTAATCTCTCCAGCTTCTTCTTGGCATTTTTAAGGCCAGGGAAGTCATTTCTCTGCAAAGGAGGGAGGGTTTCTCACTAGTTCTCTTTGTTTGGACTCCAAGAGTGCCAGACATTTCTTGGTCCCCTGTCCCTTCGGGTCCCAGAAGTCACTTGACTCACTAGTTGCTCTCTAATCCTTTATCTTCCTTTATTTTTATTAGGTTATTTACTTACACGTATATCATCATACTCTCTCACCAGAATAAAAGCTCCATGGGGCCCAAATCTCTGGTTCAGAATTCTTTCTCCAGGGCTTGACACATATATAGCACAGGTTTCATAAATGTTCTAGAAGTTGAATGATGTAAGAGATGGGGAGAGTTTGTGAAGGCAAGAACAGTGGTGCGAGAGTGAGGGAAATGGATAGAAGTGGAATGATCAAGGAATATTATTGTAGAGTATTTGTGTTGAAAAAATGCCAAGAAGTCTATGAACCATGTTGAGATCTCTTGATGCCATTTGTCTTTTTCTTTCTACAACATTCTTCTGTGGGCCATGGTTTCAATAGGGTGAAGAATATGAATAAACAGGTGGTCTTTGTATGACTTGTATATATTTTTAAAGTATACAATTCAAAAGAATGCATTGTATGTACATGTATAATCAATTAATGCTAAGGGGGAAAATAAACAATGACATTATTAAATCAAAGATTTGATTTTTAACTTGCAGCCATTTGGGGTAGACAGCGATAACCTCACTGAACAATCCATTTAACGAGATATCTATATGTACTTACATACATCTACAGTGGTGTTTGATGGACAGGAACATGCATCAAGAGACTAGGTGTAGAAACCAAAGAAGGGAACAGAAACTTCAGAAGAAAAATGTTGGGAAAGGCAAAGAAAAGCATACTGTTTCTGTGTCTGCTCACAGTGCTTAACTTACCCTACCATCATGTAGCATATCAGGAAACAAAACCAAAAATATTTAATAAAATCATTAAATATTATTAAAGCATACTATAATATATTCAATTTTTATCTGCCTTAGGTGAAATAAGTTTGAGATTCTTGACACAGATAAAGTATTGACACAGATAAAGTAGTAGGAAACATTTAGTTTTCTAAATCATTTGCACAAAATCTCCCATTTATTTCATTGTAAATTCATTTATTTTATGTGGCTGGAGAAAAAAAAGTAGAAGAAAGTTAACATAGAAGAGCAAACTAATTCAGTACATGAATACACTGTGTTATATATAACTAGGAAATATTTGAATGAATGTATTGATCATCTAAGCCAGGTAAGTTAAACATGAATTTGCAGACCTTTAGTCTTTATATATCTAAAATATGTATATATCTTAATATATATATATTTATATATTATAAATATGTATATATGTTAATATATTTAAGCATATATACACATCATATATATGATATATATTTGGTAAATATCTTATATATGAGATAAATATTTGTATGTATCATTAGATATATAAGATATATATAATAATTAGCTATACAGGCATCCTTTCATAAATGAAAGATTTTGAGACAGATTTATTCATATTAAAAAAATCTAAAATTTGTACATTCTTGTAAAATTCATGTATATTAAATCAAAGGAAAAAAAAACATGAAAGCCCCTGGACACCTGAATTTTAGCTCTGGTTTGTCTACAGTTTGGGTTCTTAATATTTTTGGGTGATTTATAAGATGAAGATGTTTAACTATATAATCTTAAGATCTAATTATATAGTTTTAATGACTAGAATAAATTTCGGCTTAAAAACATCCTGATTAGAAATGACCTTAATTGCAGAATTTATGTGTGCAAGTGACGTGGTGTGGCGGTCTGCTTATACATACATATACATATATATACACATATTTATACACAAACAAATGTGCATATTTGTTGGTATTTACTAAAGTGAAGTCTTCAGTTCAAAATGTTAAATTTGACTAAATATAGTTAGTTACATGTTTATGAAGTCATCTATTGTCTTAAGCAACAGAAGGATTCTATTATTTTGACAAGAAGAATGTGGGAATGCTTAGGTATCTGTTTGGCATCTTTCGTCATAGTGCTACAAGTTCTGTAAGATCATCTAGCTTTTCATGTGAAGTAGGCAAGCAATGAGCTGTATTAGTGAACATCAGCAAATAAAATAGGTCCATTTATTATATATTACCTTCATCAATGATGTTCAAAAACATGTTTTTTTTCCTGAGTCCCTATTCCTATGTATATTATGCGGGCAAATAGGTATATTGCTTTCAAATTAAATATGAGTCATTCTCAATCTGGTCAATTTAAACTTTTTATAGACTTGGATAGTTTTTAGAGCATTGCCATTCTTAGATTTAGAAGGAATACTTAATTTTCTCCTAAAGATGCAGGTTTTCTTCCATAAATATCTCTTTCTTTCTTACAGAATTAAATGCATCGTGTTTCCATTATTGTATAAAATAGAATTTGATGATTATATTTTAATGAGGGCTGTGGTTTCAATATGTGAGCAAAGTAATTGCTCAGGAACACTTTTGCAGTCTTATTCAAATGAGACTATCTGAATACTATATCAGAAAAAGAAGAGGACAATTTTCAACCATTTTTAGTCAGTGAATAAATAGAAAGGAAAACAAAACAGCTCATATTACATCTTATAATTATGTCTCTCCTGCTGAGGTATCCCAAAAGGTGCAATTAAAAGACAACTATACAGAAAATAATGCCTTAATTTAGTATTTAAATAGAATTACAATGATTTTGACTATCCAGAGAGTAGATCTGTTTCTCAGTTCACCCTCATAGTCATCTTCCCAGTGAATGATCCCTTTTTTGAAATAAATTATCATTATTAAGAGACACCCTGCAGGTAGAACGACATGGTCTCTAGCTGCATCCAGAACTCAGAGAACCTCAAACTTTATGTCAGAGACATGAGAGGACTCTTACTTTTCCTTACTCCTTTTTCTTTAGAATAAATTTCCACCTTTGGAAGTATTAGGATGAGATCTAAGTCTTAGAATACATTTAATTATGCTTGATATTTCAGTTTTTTTTACTGGTACTATGATAAACTATCAAAAATTTAGTCCTAAAAGCAACACAGGTGATTATCTTACAAGTTTATACAACACAAGTTCCCAACAGATCTCACTGGGCTAAAGGTGTTGAAGAGCTGTATTGCTTTTGGTGGATCCAGCATAAAACTCTTTTCCTTCTCTTTTCCGGCTTTCAGAGACCGTTCCTTGGCTCATGCCCTGTTCCTAGACCTTCAAAGTCAGCAATGATAGGTTGAGTCCTTCACACATGTGGCATCTTTCTCAACTTGCTATTTGCTTTTTAATCATTTTTTATGAATGTTCCAAGGTACAGATACTTTTATACCAGTATGGTCAGATATACTGACTTTAAAAAATAATATTCATGGCTGGGTATGGTGGCTCACACCGGTAATCCCAGCACTTTGGGAAGCCAAGGTGGGAGGACTGCTTGAGGCCAGGAGTTTGAGCCCAGCGGGGGCAACATAGTCAAATGCCATCTTCACAAAAAAATTAAAAAAAAATTAGCCAAGCATGGTAGCATGCACCTCTGGTCCCAGCTTCTCGGGGAGCTGAGGCAGGAGGATCACTTGAACCTTGGTGGTTGAGGCTGTAGTGAGCTATTATCACTCCACTGCACTCTGCTCTCTAGCCTGGGTGATACAGTGAGACCCTATCTCAAAAAAATTATAATATATAAAAAATGTATAAATTTTTACATATATAAAATATATATGTAAAATACATACATAAAATATATGTATAAATTTATACATATATTCATTCATACTCATATGTATATTCATTGTTCATATATGGTGTATAATTATACATTAAATATTTTCCACTATTTTCTTCAAAGTTTGATGGCTTCATTTTATATTGGCATTTTAACTAAAATACACAATACTAAATTTTTCTATGTATTAACGTAAGAACGCGAATACCTTGTTTTTCAAATTATTTAATTTTTTGATTGATTTATTGAACAATTCAGTCTGTTCACATGAATTTGTAATTCTTGACTTAACATGTCTATATCAAGGTATAAATGCTAGTTGAGTTTTTTTCAGGGTCATGAAGGCAAAGTTTGTTATTACTTGGGATAATTAACCATACACACTTAAACTTTCTAAGAAGTAAAAAATTATTGGGTATTGTTATAAATTTTGGTTAAAAGCCAAATAAGAAATGGAAAAAATTAATAAAAGTAATCCTTGAATTTTAATAATTAATTTTTAATTCATGTTCATCAAATTAATATATATTTTAAATCAGCATTTCCCAAATCCATTTCAGCAGAATATCAGCGTATTTTTTTTTTAAAAGTAAGTCTTTACTCAAGTAACTTTGACATTGTTGATTAATTTCATTAGGATTATTCACTGTAACTGATATTGGGGTCTTTAATATGCTTATGTTTTGTGAACCTCCAAGAAAATGGAATATAAAGCAATATTTTTTGCATTTGGCTACAGGATCACTTCTCAAAAGAAGCCATATATCATGAATGTTTCATACACTGTTAATAATAAAACAGGCTGGGTGTGGTGGCTCATGGCTGTAACCTCAGCCTTTTGGGAGGCCGAGGTTGGTGAATCAATTGAGACCAGGAGTTCAAGACCAGCCTAGCCAACATGGCAAAACCTTGTCTTTACTAAAAATACAAAAATTAGCCAGGCATGGTGGCACATGCCTGTAGTTCCAGCTACTTGGGAGGCTGAGGCAAGAGAATCACTTGAATATGTGAGGTGGAGGGTGCAGTGAGCCGAGATTGTGGCACTGCACACCAGCCTGGATGACAGAGGGAGACGCTGTTTCAACAAAAAAAAGAAAGAAAAGAAAGGAAAATGTGAACCAGTTTTTAAACTATTTGTGCCTTATTTCTTGCCAAAATATGAATTACTATACCCTACATCTCTGATATACTGACAAATTGGGTAAAACTTAGGGCCAACAACAATGCTGTGGATGTAAAACAGGGTTAGATACCTACTTTGCCTGATTCCTGATGACCTGTTAGGCCTATCTTCTTGTTGGGCAGATTGCATTGTTTTCACATGGTCAACTGTATTAGTCCATTTTCTTGCTACTAATAAAGACACGCTCAAGACTGGGTAATTTATGCAGGAAAAAGGTTTAAAAGACTCACAGTTCCACATGGCTGGGGAGGCCTCACAATCATGGCAGAAGGCAAGGAGAAGTGAGTCATGTCTTACATGGATGGCAGCAGGCAAAGAGAGAGCTTGTGCAGAAAAACTCCCTCTTATAAAACCATCAGATCTCATGAGACTTATTCACTATCATGAGAACAGCATGGGAAAGACCCGCCCCTATGATTCAATTACCTCCCACCAGGCCCCTCCCACAACACGTGGGAATTGTGGGAGCTACATTTCAAAATGAGATTTGGGTGAGGACACAGCCAAACCATATCATCAACTATCTTCATTTATAGTGTCTCTTAGTGCCAACATGGTTTCCCATATGTATTTTGTACACAATAAATAAAGAAATAACCAATGCACCTTTGTTGCCAGGCATACAGTAGGGATCCAAAAATCATGAATCCTGGTACTTACATACTGTTCCATTTTCATTAATTCACATCTTAAATTTTTATTTAGCTTCCTGCATACATGATACTAGGTTAGCAACTATGGGGACCAATTCTCTGTATAGCTTTCTTAACAGTCGTATCATAGTAGCAAAGACAGGAAATGTATAGAACGTACTAATGTTAAATGGTATAAGCCATATTTTACTAGCATTGACCTTTATTTTCTAGGTTAGTATCTTGACCTACTGTAGAATTATTCACCATCAAATATTTTCAAGATTGACCAGGAATTTTCCCACATGCAATAGATGCTGGGCACTGCCATCTGCTCTGCCATTCCCTCTGTTGTCACTATTACTTCCTCCAGGTAATGTGGGTTTTGGGGGATCCCTGCCAATTTCACTGGATCCCAGCGCATTCTTTAGGCTCAAAGCTGTCATGGGGCTCCACACCTTTTTCCAGTAGGCATACTCACATTCTTCAGTCACCACTGTCAATGTCAAAGGGGCACTACTGCTGATTCTTATATTCCTGCCAGGTACCACCACGGATGCACTATAGCTTGCAACACATCAAAGTTATAAAGTACAACGATGGAAAATGCCACTTTTCTCTTTGTGCAATGCACTGTGATTATGATACCAAAGCATATTGTTTATATTCCAACTTCTTACAGTGTTTTAGCAAAACATCTTCCCATTTTAACCTACAACATTTCCTCCACCCTTTTGTCTTCAACATCCTAGGCACAGACATATCCAACACCAAATTCAAATGAAAGACATCAAGCAATATTCACCATGCTCCTGTAAAATACAGCTTTATCATGTTCGGCACCCTTTTGTTTTAGAAGAGATTGTCTCCTTGGAAGATCTGTAGTGTGAGATTTAAGTAGTTGTGGGCTTAATGGACTCAGCAATTTCCCAAATGTGTCCACTAAATAACGTACTCAGACACAGCTTAATCTCTAACTGGCAAGTTCTTCTTTTGACCATGAAAATATAAAGTGAGTGCCAAAACAGGCAAGCAGATCAAGGCTGAGGTCTGTTTAGAGGAGGAAGAGATTGTACCTGTTTGGAAGATTCAGTCAAGGATTCTTGGAAATGTTGTTTGCATTCTGGCTGACCTGAAAGAATAATTATAATAAATCAGGGATAATAGAAACATTTTGCTAGGGTTGAGGCAGCATCACAATACCTATCACAAAGACAAGAAATAATAGGTCACATGTGGAAAAAAGCAAATAGTGCTATTTGCCAAGAAAATGGAGATATGTCAGAAATAATGACAGTCATTTGGAAAAGGTAGGTAGTGGCCACTATACTAAGGAAGACTTTATAAATGGAATTTAACTTTGCTCCAAATGGAATTTCTCTTCTTGTCTGTCTTCCTTGAACGTAGAGAACGTTATTTACTACGTTACTTCTCTTTGCCATACTGTTAGCTCTATCTTGATGAGAAAAAAATAATAAATTGAATGTTTAGAGACCAATATTTGCTAACCCTTGATCATTTCCAAATTAGGCCACATATTTCATTTTGTTTGTAATAAATCTGAAATGCAGACACAGATTTACATCCTGTATGACAGTCAGAAGCAAAGTGTTAGTAATTTAGATGTGATCTTTCTAATTGATCACTTTTTGTCATTGAAATGCTGAGTGATTTTCATAGGATCACTGTGAAAATTAAAGATGAGAATATAAAATCATGTCACCGTATATTTTAGATATAGTAGATTACCTAGCTTGTCAGCAATCATTATTATTTCCATTTCTCAGATGAGGAAACTTGGGAGTTAATATATAATTTGTCCAAGGTTGCCTAGCCAGGAAGTGGTGGAAGGTTATGAATCCAGGTATATGATTTTTCAATCTAAACCTGCATCACAGCAACATTCTGCCTCTCACAGAGGGCCAGAGGCCCTGACAGACAATGTAAACCTTTTCTTTTGCTTTCTCTTCTTTTCTTTTGTCTTCTATTCTAAGTATTCATTTTGATGGTATTTTGGCATCTTTGAGAAAAAGGTTCTGTGAAAACCTCTATTCCATTCTTATTCTTTTTAATGAAAAGCAAGCTCATCTTCTTTTTATGTCACACAAACAGCTTTGATGTGAAAGTCCAGCCATCTCCAGCAAATATTAGCCAACAGATGTATTGTGCAGAAAGAATCAATAGTGACACCTATTAGGTGTATGCATGAAGTTACCAATCACTTCTTCTCTACACAGACATCCCAAAGGAACTCAGTACCTAAACAAGCATAATAACACTGATGGGACAGAAAGCAACCACAATATTAATAGCTAGGCCAGTGTCTAATTCCTCAAGATTAGAGCCCTGGTAAAACGCTGTTAGGGAATACAGCTTGCTGGAACCTAACAGAGACCCTTTCCATCAGCCCAAACCCTAGTCTTGTGAATTTACTTACTTCTATCTGGCAGCACAACACAAAGTGATGACTAGTCTACTTTAGGTGTACATACAAGGAAGAGAGTGCATCGCAGGAAAGTTAGTTGGTGCCATGGTCTGAATGTGTGTGTCCCCCTCCAAATCCATATAAAGAAATTTAATCACCAAGGTGATGGGGTTAGAAGTTGGGCCCTTTGGGAGGTGATTAGGCCATGAAGGATTAGAAGGATTAATGTCTTTATGGAAGGGGCTTAAGGGAACTTATTAATTCTTTCCCCTCCACCAAGTGAGGATACACAGGCACCATCTCTAAGGATGAAGGGCCTCATGAGACACTGAACCTGCCAGCAACTTGATTTTGGACTCCCCAGCCTCTGGAACTGTGAGCAATACATTTCTATTGTTTTTAAATTACCCAGTCTAAGGTCTTTCGTTATAGTGGCCCAAATAGACTAAGACAGTTGGTTTACTGATGTCTCCTGCAAGCAACAGGAAGTAGGAGAGAAGTAACACATACATTTCAGGCTACAGTGACTCTCTGCCTATTAATACACATGAGTCAATCAATGATTTGGAAAATGATCAAAGATGGAGAACATGATAGGAAGAAAACACAGAACATATCTCATCCTTAAAAAAAATCATCATTTTTAGGCAGCTTAGAACAAATTCAAGCTCAACTGGTAAATATACTAGCATGAATCATGTTTAAAACGATGGGGAAATTTTGCAAATGTATTTACTCCTTAGCTTCCTGAAAGAAAAATTCCTCAGTTATGAGACCATATTCACTGAAATCATCAAACGAACTATCGCAGCAGATGGGAATAGCAGATAATATGTTTATTTGGAGTTACATTAGGCTTGGCGAAAAGACTTTTTACTTTTTTTTTTTGAGCTTACATCTCAATTTTTTCTATGCAATATGTTAAAGATACATATATTCTCACACAGACACACACAAAGACACAGGAACTATTAAGGTAGAAAGACTATATAAGAAAAATATTGTCTCTCAAGACTAAATACTATACTTAGCCCCAAGATAAATATAATTATATAAATAAGTAACAAAACAGACCCAGCATTCATTTATAAAGTCAGAGAAAACAGCTCCAGGACAATAAGATTCATGGGTCTTCCACCATATTCACATTTTTCATATTCCTGATACATGCTGTAGTTCTCTGAGTTGACACATGGAAATGAGCAAAAGCTTTTAGTGGATGTTGTCTAGGAACCCCTCCAGAAACGATCTCCCACTATATGGGGGTGCATTTTTAATTGATTTTCTATTTGTAGGCTATTTTATAAGTTATGGCTTAGAAATTAATTGTAGAGAACTATTAGTATGTGAATATTTGTCCATAGTGATGTTCATAAATTTTGATCAGTGTACATACAAGTAATTTCTGCCAAGTATAAAAGATAATCATAAACACCACACTTTATTGCTCTAAGAAATATGAACCAGTTTAGTATTAATATTTGTTTTAGCATATGTATTTGTGTATGTATATACTTGTGTGTATATATGTTCTTCAGATTCTGTTCTGAATCAGTCTTTACAATCTTATATTGGTTCACTCTTTAATTCCTGAGTTGAATAAAATGGCTGATGTGTTTATTTTATATTTGCATGAGAGTCATTGCTTTAACTTTTCAAAAAGTATAAATTACCACACACACACATATATCAGTAAATATCTTACCTGATTTGAATGAATGCATATAAATAATTAATGTAACTGGGAGTTGGTTCAGAGTAGTTTTAATAGTTTTTGGGTTTCTTTGCCACCCATGCAAGGAGAATGTTTTTCTCATCTCGTTAAGAAAATATGATAACTTTCGCCAGATACACTAAAGAGCAGGACCACGATGTGTGGCCACATGGCCTGTAGACTACATAACCATGGAGGTGCAATGCACACAGACTCTGATGACAGTGTTACAGCTCCATTAAAGTGGAAGAGTAATATTTATTAGACACACTGTGCTCCAGGTATTGTTTTAAATACTTATTTACTTACTTTTTGTAAGGGATTTAGAAGAAAGTGACAATAAAGACAGCTTAATAGTATGGGGAAATATAGGTTGATGTGAATTATATTAGGAACCTAAAAAATACAGGAAGCATGGGGCAATGGCCACAGAAACACTTTCAGAAGACAAGCATTTGGACAAACAAGAGAAGCACTGTTCTTCCTAACTGCTATTAAATAGTTCCTCTCAATCATTCCATTGTCTCTTTTCTCACCTTGGTCTTTGGTGTCTTTTTTTCAAGGACAACACAAGTCCTTATAGGCAAGAATTAAAAAACAACTACAGAACAATAAATGGGATCTATAGCCAAAAAAGGAAGTTTTACTTCTTTAACACTGTCTTCTAAATTGATTAAAGCTTCACAAGAACTCTGAAATAATCTAAAACAATTTTGACACGTAACTGTACTATTCATGTCACCAATAATCCATGCTAAGCAAACATCAGGGTCACCTGTCCAGAACATTTTAAATTAACTTTAGCATTCTTGAAATAATGGCAAGATAGGCCCTTTTTACACATATTGCTATGGGATTTAGGTTAAAGTCCTATATTTAGCAACACTTGAGGCTGTAGAAGTAAAATTATTTGAACATTATTTTATTAACATAATAACACAATTTTGAGATCCAAAGGAGCTTAAAGATCATCTTATAAATCCGTCTTTATCATGTTTGAATATTAGCAAGAAAATAATCTTCAAGTATGCCCCAACTCTTCTCAAACATTTCTGGCATGAAAAACTACATCTTCAATAATTCCCTAGGCAATGTAGGATATCTTCAGAAATACCAAATTTTTAATCAGCTCTTCCTGTGAATGAGGAAAAACTATCCCTGGGTACCTCCCAACAACTGGAGGAATAAAGTTGAATATAAGTCAAGTGTGAGTTCCAGAAAGAGCTAACAAATGTGGGCAAAAGAAAAACAAAACAAAACCGTACCCTGAATTGGTAGGAGAAATGAACGCCCAGATTCAGTAATACCAGTAAATCTCAGTGAGTATAAATAAATCAAACTTATACCTAGGCACATTGCAGTGAAATTGCAGAACATCAAAAACAACAATCTTAACAGCAATGAGAAAATAATTTACATTAAAACAGAGAATTAGACTGAAAACTGACTTTATGCTATAAAATGAAAGCTAGATAACCATGCAATAACATTTTCAAAGTACTGGGAAGCAACATCTGTCAACACAGTATTGTTACAGAGTGAATGTATTTAAAGCATGAAGTTGAAACAAAGATATTTGTAGATAAAAAGGCTGAGATACTTTTCTACCAATATATAACGTGAAAAAACAACAACAACAAAATCCATGCTGAATGAACCTTTTTAAGAAGGGAAAAAATTCATAATTACTATATTATTATGGCAGCCACAGAAATGCAACACCTTGGTCTCTCGATACAGGGGTTGGGGGAGAGGTCATAGTTGATTATCAGCCCCCACTGCTGCCCTCTAGGTGACATTATGTTTGTTTTAAGGTCTTACTACCCTGGGGTTGATCTCAGCATATGACCAAGTATGGCAGGTGTACCGGCACGGCCCATCAGCCTGGAGGAAACTTTTGCACAGCTGGACAGACGCCTCAGACTCTACCTACCAAATCCTTGTTCCTTCCCCTCTCTGCAATGTTTATTTTGTTTTATTTTTATTATTTTGTTAGAGACAGAGTCTTGCTCTGGAGTGCAGTGGCATGATCATAGCTCATGGCAACCCTGAACTTCCGGGCTCAACTGATCTTCCTCCCTCAGTGTCCTGAGTAGCTGGGACTACAGACATGTGCCATCATGCTCAGCTAATTAAAAAGAATTATTTTGTAGAGGCAGGGTCTTGCTATATTGCCCAGGCTGGTCTCAAACCCCTGGCCTCAAGCACTCCTCCCTCCTCAGCCTCCCTATGTTATTAATGTTGCTTTATTAGTATCTCTGTGAAAAGCTTGTGGTCTACATTTGGTGTGTCTTAGGAGAACTACTCATTGACAGCCTTTATGGGGATGGGTGGTCTATGGAGTGAGCAGGGTGCCTTGGAGGGATTTCTTAAGGGAAATCCCTTAAGAAGTCTCCTGGGATATGTCTATTAGGGACTGGTGGCCACTGTACAGGCAAAATAATTGGAAGAAAGCAAACCCCAACAACTGGTGGGGAAGAAGGAGAAGAGCTGTCTATTTCCTTCAGAGCCTGGAGTATCTGTAGGTGGAGAAAATACTCTCCATTTCGGGGGGAAGGCTTTTTCCTGTTTGCTTCCATAGAAGGGAGCCCCACTGGTATAGTCCCTGAGGCCTCTCTGAACTCTTTCAATCACTCTTCCTTTGATCAGGAAGAATGACAGCAGCTGATGGGTGATTTTAAGTAGAGACAGAGGACATGTGTTATGTAGCCCCTTTTCTTTACTTCTCCTTGGGATTCAGTTGTTCACACCAGATCTACAAAACCGAGTTTCTATCCAAAACCCTGGCACGGAGGCTTACAGCATTTTGGCACTGCCTGCAGCAGGGCGGGTATCCGTTTAATTCTAGGGTTTGTTATTAGGAAAACCACTTGCCTGCAAATATTAGACTACATTCTCCAAAACCAGCTTTATTAGCAGCTAAGCTGATATTTTGGTCTCCACCTGCCTTTCTGTTTTTGTCTTATTTCTTAATGGGTTCAAAACTGAAATGAAGAGATGAATAGTACTGTATTAGTAGAGCCATCTTGAATCTGTTAATACCCAGCACAATGCTGATGCATAGTAGATAATGAAATGAAATGAATATACAAGTTCAAATATACAAGCCATTCCTATGTAGGTTGATACTTGTATAAAATGCACTGAACAGTTTTACAACTTCGAATATGGAAGATTTAATCTACATAAACAGGATTTTTTTCAAGTAGATTATTTCATTATTTTTCTTTTCTCCAATTATTCACAGGAAAAGGGAGGATTTTGCCAATTGCCACTCTTCGAAATTCTCATTTAGCTAAGCACCTTGGAAAGACACTATGTTCATTTCCCGAAAAAACTTTGACTTTTACAGTAAAATAAAATATGCAATAAAATATATTTTCCTAATTAGGTAATATCTGCTATAAAAAAGGAAACCATCAAAGCATAATATGGTGCACTCTAGAAGAACTTGCCAGTGACGTGTCTACTACAAGACTGCTGATACCAGTGATCCGGATAATCAAACAGGCTCGGATGTGTTAAAAAAAATGCACAGAATCTTCCTTTCTTTCATTCCAGTCTGCACATTTTCTTCAGTCCTGTTTTATAATCACATTCTCACCAACATTCGCACCATGGAGAGTGTTCTTAAAGCTTCTGTGGGTTTTAAATCTATACTCTGACTTGTAACACACAACTTCCTTTGTGGAACTCTGACTTAAAGATGCATTTACCAGCCACTCATGTCACCAGCACAGCTTTGATGGTGCTCCCCGCTCTTCTTTACTTCCGTGATGCCGGCATCTCATTGAGTCCAGCCTCTTTGGTTATAAATAAACTCTGCTGTTCTCTTTAGATGGACTTCATCTCCTTTCTGTATTCCCTTTACATTTCATCCCCTCTGCAAATTGTTGTTTTTCCCAATAAGAAGAGAGAGGCTGACTTTCAAGTGGAGCTTGGTATTTACTACTCCAGTTTGATGACTCTCTCTTGCAAAAATGGGTTTTGCTTTCCTTTTAGTTTTCTCCTCTGTTTTTAGTTCAAATCAATCCTGTTATGCAATCTCATATCCAATAATCAAATAAAAGCTAAAGTATATATAGGCAGTGGTGGTTTTTCAATTTTTAACTAGATATCTGGTGTTTTAAAGACTTTGTTCCAGTCATAAACATGAAAATTGGGAAAATCTTGATTAGAGACAAATATGTCTAGTAAGTAGTAAAATTTTTATGTAAAGGATCTATTAAGGTGAAATGTGGAAAAAATTTTAATTATGCATGTGATTGTACAAATTCTCCCTCATGGGGAGTAATAAAGTTAGACATCAATAAGTCATCCAGACCAACTCCATTTTGTAGATTAGACAACTGATATTGAAAGAGGATAAATATCCAGGAGGCACACATTTAGAAAATTCACAGGCATGAAATAAGAACCGGATCACTTGCTTCTCAGAGCAGGGAGTTTTATCATATACTTTTCTGATTTTGTCCCTAACTACTTAAAATAGGAAAACAAATACCTTTATATTAATGGAGCTAGTTGTATCTCATTTAATTCTTAAAATAATCTTTTAATTCTTAAAGATTTTAATCTTTTCATTGCCCCCCCCCCTTTTTTTTTGCCCCCGCCTTTTTTTGAGGCAGAATCTAGCACTGTCACCCAGGCTGGAGTGCAGTGGCGCAATCTCCTGTTGCTGTCTTTTTGATCTATTTAGGGGGAATGATAGTTGTTTTTGGTTACACTGCAGCGATGGCTATTGAGGAATATCCAGAGGCAAGAGGGGCAGGTATTGAAGTTTTAGGAAGTGTCTTAGCCCTCTGCCTCCCAGGTTCAAGTGATTCTCCTGCCTTAGCCTCCCAAGTAGCTGGGATCAAAGGTCCCGCCACCACACCCAGCTGATTTGTGTATTTTTAGTAGAGACTGGGTTACACCATGTTGGCCAGGCTGCTCTCAAACTACTGACCTCAGTTGATCCACCCATCTTGACCTCTCAAAGTGCTGGGATTACAGGCGTGAGCCACCATGCCTGGCCTGATTCCTGTTTTATAAATTAGAAACCCATGGCTCCAGTTTAAATACATAAGCCAATGTTAAATGTTCTTACATATTCCATATCTGTACCACCTAGCTTTCTTCAGAAAGGAATCAAGGTCATTATAGTATTAAGAAATATGTGGAATTTTAACAGTCCACTAAAACAATATTCTCACATTGTTGTCATTACCCAAAGCAAAACCTGGGTTTATTTGCAATTTGGCACATATGCCAATTGCAAAGAAGTCTGAGAACTGAAAGCAATTATGCCATTAACAAAAATGCTCCTGGCCGGATGCAGTTGCTCATGCCTGCAATCCCAGCACTTCGGGAGGCCAAGGCGGGTGGATGACCTGAGGTCAGGAGTTCAAGACCAGCCTGACCAACATGGAGGAACCCTGTCTCTATTAAAAATACAAAAAATTAGCTGGGCGTGGTGGCACATCCCTGTAATTCCAGCTACTCGGGAGGCTGAGGCAGGAGAATTGCTTGAACCCAGGAGGTGGGGGTTGCTGTGAGCCGAGACCGCACCATTGCACCCCAGCCTAGGCAACAAGAGCGAAACTCCATCTCGAAAAAAAAAGAAAAGAAAAGAGAAGAAAAATGTTCCTTTTTCTAACTATTAAAAGTATGAGTTCAAGAAAAAGTTATTGATTAATCTTACTGTTTTATAAATGCTTTTTATTAATTTTATTGAAAATTGCTTTCTTGTGACACTAATCTTAATTCAAGTTTAAAATTTTAATTTTTCTTTTCTACCACTGAATAGAATAAAAAAAATTTAAATCACCTTTGTTCCCATTCCCTCCACACACATATAATGACGCACATTTATTTTTGTATCCAGATTTTTATTTAGTATTATCCTCAGCATTTTTCCTGTGATATATGGTATTCACAACTGCTCTTTTAAATATCTGCATGTGCCATCGTCACTCCTTAAATTTAGGTTGTTTTTAGCTTTTTATTATTTTAAAAATGCTATAGAAATCTTTGAGTGGGCTGGCTGCAGTGGCTCATGCCTGAAATCCGAGCACTTTGGGAGGCCAAGGTAGGAGGATTGCTTGAAGCCAGGACTTCAAGACCAGGCTGGGAAACATAGCAAGACCCTTTCTATACAAAAAATAATAAATTGGCCAGGCATGGTAGTGCACACCTGTAGCTCCAGCCACTCTGAAGGATGAGGGAGGATAGTTGGAGCCCAGGAGTTCGAGGCTGCAGTAAGCTATACCATGCTACCGTACTCTAGCCTGGAGTGAGACTCTGTTGCTTAAAAAAAAGAAAGAAGAAATATTTGGATATGTAACACCTTTTCTCATTTCAGTTATTTCCTGCATTAGTCACTTCTTGCATTGCTATAAAGAAATACCTGAGACTGAGTAAGAAAAGAGGTTTAATTGACTCACAGTTCTGCAGGCTATACAAGAAGTATAGTGGCATCTGCTTCTGGAGAGGCCTCAGGGGGCTTTTACTCATGGCAGAAGGCAAAGCAGGAGTAGGCACATCACATGGCAAGAACAGGGCAAGAGAGTGAGCGGAGGTGCTATGCCCTTTCAAACAACCAGATCTTGTGAGAATTCACTTGCTATCACGAGGACAGTACCAAGAGGCGTTGCTAAACCATTAATGAGAAATCTGTCCCCATGATCAAATCACCTCCCACAAGGCTCCACCTCCAATACTGGGGATTACAAATCAATATGAGCATTGGGTGGGGTCACATATTCAAACTGTATTACTTTCCCAGCATGACTAGCCTGAAGAGGGATGACATGTGTCAACATTTTTTTTTCTCTGCACCTTTGCCAACATTAGGAAGTACCCCAAAAATGAATGAATGAATTTGACCAAAGTGAACCCACTTGGCAATTTTTGTTCTTAGTTTATAAGTGTTAAAATATGCCCTTGTATTTACTATTACGTTCTATTCATCTTCTGTCCATTTTCTGATCATTTTTTTTCTTTTATATATTGGTTACTTACTATGTTTCCAGCTCTCCACGGAGACCTTTCTGTAGAATATGATAAATGTATTCACTCTTGTATTGTCTACAGAAGTATTTTCCATGCTGTTTTCTTTTATATGCAAAAGTTTTAAGGCATTTTTTTTCAGAGCTGTTTTTCAGTCCAACATTCAGAGATTAGATCAATATTGAAGTCCGTTTTCTGATTTTCTTTGACTGTATTGCAAGTTTCCCTTTCAAATTAAATGTTGTTTTGATCTCAAAAAAAGCATGTCTGAATTTTCTTTCCTGCAGTTTGTAAGTATGGCAGGCCAATGTGCAAAGGAACAAATGTGTTCACACGGACCATAAAGAATACTAGTCCAGCAACATGGTAGGTACCACATCAAAATCTGTTTTGCTATCTCAATATAATTTGGGTTCAGTTCATTCTTTCTGGAATGTGTTAACATTTTTCCCCAGTAAATAAATGAACAGAGATCAAAAAACCCTATTCTTCTTTGAGTCCCAGATGGAAAATGGCTGAAGTTCAGATTAAATGTTTCCACCAGAAGTATGCCCAGCAGGTGAGATAAGTTCTAAACCAGACCATGAAAGAGATGGTAGACAGAAAAAACAGAAATTGCAAAGCTTACAAAAATCAATAGTGCGTTATAGTCTGTGTGAGAAGCAGTAGAAACTACTTTTAGGTGAACTATTGGAAATCTGTGTCTGAGAACAAATTAGTCTTACTTTCAAGAGCTAAATGACTCTGAGATATTCATTTAATACTTCCTTATTTAGGCTAGGTCTACGATAGCAAAGTTGAACGGAGAATTAAGGTTTGTCCTACCATGCATCCATTATCCACTATACCTTGTCTGAAAGGCCTTTCCTAGACTGTCAGGCAATCCATTTTTTTCCCTTCCTTCCAAAACACAACTCAATACAGAAGTACTTTAAAGAAGCTTTTCCTTCCAAAATACACCTCAATAGGGAAGTAATTTAAGAAGATTTTCCTATTTAAATACATTCAACTATAGTAATTTCTTGACTTGATAGCCCTGTTCTCATTCATCAATACATATGGCTTTTGTTATTGGCTATTATTATAATTTTGTCTGAATACAGTAGAAAGAAGATAATCATTACCAAGTGACTAATTAATTATATTAATGAATCAGGTCAAAGAATGCATTCTCATAACATGGCCAGATAGTGTTTTGGATTGAATTGTTGGGATCACAGTTTCAATTCTCCTATTTATTTTTCTATACCTTTGCAACTATGGATTTTGCCTTAGATAAGTGCATTGGGAGAAAAAAGATAATTTATTAAGAGGAGTACCATTCATTTAAGCTTTCTAAACTTGTTCTTTAAAATGTATTGTTTACAGTTTGAGGAGATAACTGAAAGCAAAAATAAATCAGAACTTTGAAATTTAGCAATATTTAATGATGTACAATTTGATTTTCTTTCCATTTTAGATAAAAACCTAGTGACAAACCACTGAAACTGCATTGCAAATAACTGAAATAATATTTCTTTAGATCATATTACCATTCAGAGTTGGCCAAGGGTAAGCATATAAACTTGGCTTCTAATTTTTTCTGGAATATTTAACATTATTTTCTACTCAAGAGAAATGTGTGACACAAAAGAGACAAACAACTGTTCTACCATTAGTGTTGTTAAATATGAATTCTTTCCTTTTTCCAGATCGTTTTTACAAAGTTTTCTTAAATGGTTTATAAGAAAGGGTTTAATTATATTACTTTTGTATTACTATTGTTACTGTCATATTTCTGCTACCAGTATGTCTAGCAAACTGAGGTAATAATGCAGTATACACAGAAAATCAGAAGCAAAGAAGAGGGAGGCACAGATACCATGATAATATTCAATATTATTTTAAATTTGTCTCTGAGCTTCCTCAAAATTATGACAAAAAGGGAAACCCGATATGTTATCGAAGTCTCAATTTTGGAAGAGAAAAAGCAAACCAAATCTTTAAGGAAATACAAAACTTAACCAAAATAAAATTATTTTTAAAAGTTATCTTCTGCCTGGTGAAAAGAAAATATTTTAAAACTTTATAATTGGTTTTGATTATCTTCTTTTAACACAGGAAATTAAAATATTTTAGTGCACACACACACACACACACACTACATTATATCAAGTCTTTCCGCATGAAATAGTTTTATATCTGTCAATGATAGTAAAATAGAGTCATATATATATATATATATATATATATATATATATATATATATAAAATCAATGAGCTTGTGTGTGTATATATGCATGTATAATTTTTCCTATACTAACATTTAGGTGTGTTAGCCTCTATAAAAGGTAGTAGGAGTTTCCTGAAGTAGCTTGTGAGCTATTCTTCAGTGATTTTGTATAGGTGCTTAGGGCTTTCTTTCTTTTTCTTTTTCCTTTTTTTTCCTTTTTTTTTTTGAGTGGATTCAGAAACACAGGTCATGGGTGGCCTATTCTTTCAATCTTTCAGTGCTCAAGTTCTGCAAGATTCCAATGCTTACTAAAAAGAATTTCCTAGTGACTGTAGCTTTGAAAAGATCACTTTCCCTTGAATCTTTTTTTTAGACCAGAAAAGATTGCTTCTAGGAATCTGATCTCCTGTTTTAGTAAAACGACTATCATGAAATTCTGCCACTGGTTTGCAGTGAATATCTATGGTGGTGTAGCTGCCATGCTTCAAATAAAATCTGTCAGTGAATTCATCACGTTATCTGATAGTGTGCTCTGCTTTAGAAAAAAGAAACAGTTTTCGAAAAATACATCAGCGTTCTCTCAGTTTATATTGAAGAGAGTCAATGTCAATTTGTAAATTTTTTTTACCTTTTTTCTTATTTTTTCTTAGCTCTTTAATTGTCTGTTCTTTTTTTATAGTAGACCAAATGCATTGATTTTTTTTCCTTAAATGTAAAAGAGCATCATCATTATAACTTTCTATGTGAACATTTATAATTATGAAATAGTTATTTTTCATAGCATTTCTTATAGCTATACAATTTAGAATAAAACCTAAATTCTCAACAATTATGGAGTATTGGTAAAATAAATTAAGGAACATACATATAACAGAGTGCTATGTGCTTATTAACATTCATTTACATAAGAATATCTAACAGCATGATGTTTAATCATAAAAAGGGGAAAACATTTTGTAATACCTGATATGATGCCATTTGTGTGTGTGTGTCTGTGTGTATGTTAAAGAATGTATTTTTTTAAAAGACCAAAATTAGATTTACCAAAATGTTTATGTGTGTGGTGGGTTACATTTTGATTAATAGTTACTTTATTCACTATGCATTTCTGCAGATAATAATTAAATATATTTTCTACCTATAATAAGAGTTTTTTTTTAATTTAAGAAGCACATTGACTTTGGAAAACGTTAGAATAGCTAAGCATAGGTGCTATGTAAAAGAGAAAAACTACTTCACTTAAGAAAATGAGAGACATTTGTTTGCTTGCGGAAGTGAGGAGGAAGGATGTGAAAGGAATGGAGTTGGGGTGAGAGGAAGAGAGGGAGGGAGTCCCAGTAATCTGACAAGACTGTACTTACTGCAGCGTGTAACTCCTTGTGACCCCTCACGACTTCAAGCAAGTTATCAAGTTGGTAAAATCCTTGGTGAGTGTATGAGTCCATTTCTCACGGCTCTAAAGCATACGTGAGGTTGGGTTTATAAAGAGGCTAATCTGGCTCACAGTTCTGCAGGCTGTAAAAGCATGGTTCCAGCATCTGTTGGCTTCTGGTGAGTATTCATGGTGGAAGGGAAAGAGGGAACAGGCATAGCACATGGCAAGAGAGGGAGCAAGTGAGAAAGAAAAAGAGAGGGAAGGGAAGCATCTGACTCTTTTTAATGATCTAGATTTCATGGTAACCAATAGAGCAAGAGCTCATCATTACCAAAAGGATGACACCAAGATATTCATGGAGGATCCATCTCCATGACCCTAACACCACCAGGCCCCACCTCTCACATTTCAACATGAGGTTTGGAAGGGACAAACATCCAAACCATACCAGTGAGTTTACACTTACATTGAAACTGGTGAAGAGGTTAACGTCTTGCATCTGGACTGCTATGGGGTGAAACTGAAGGAGCATATGAGGGTTCGGGAGCCGAGAGCAGAAGAGAACCACAAGAATGCAAGGATTAAGCAGAATCCTAGGGGAGATTGAACTCTTCCACATTAAAGAGTTATTGGATGAAGCCACTCTCCTCTTCCAGGAAGTATGAACTGAAAGTACACTTCCCTGCCTTGTATTAGATGAAATCTTCACACTAGCCCAGTAGAAGTGCAATGTCAATCTGACTTGAAAGCTGTTGGCTATATGCACTTAAAGAAATAGAGAATAGCTCTGCCTGGGTCATTATGGTTCTGGGAATACGACTTAAAAATAAAAACTATCTGGTAATGGACATAGCTTTTGGGACAGCTTATTATAGATAAAGATCAATGTTATACAAGCTTACAAGAGTGACAAAATTCATGAAGTTTCTCAATGAACAAAAAGGCAAAACAGAAGTAACATGCATCAAGAAATGCATAATTATGTCTTTTGAAAATGAACTAAAAGAGGTCTATGGCTGATGTATAAGACTCCCATATGATTCTTGCCCCACTTTAAAGATGAGATGCAATCCCCTGGAAAGTGGATAGCTATCATGGTTCTGTTTAATCAGCATCCTTTATGGCATTTCTCTGTAAGAAGCCAGAGACATTCCCAAGAGGTGCTGGTCTGAAGGTTGCAGAGAAAGATTTTGAGTTGGGAAGAATACAGCACGAAAGCGCTACAGGACTGTCAGGCCACCAAGGTGGACAAGGAAAACATGGCTGGTAGAATCTTTTTTAAAAACTATCCTTAAGAGTTATCTGTGGTCACAAATCTAGCTATTACTAAGCAGAATGTCTGGCCATGCTACCACTGTTAATAATACAGATAATCTTAGGGACTTGGACATTCACATTCTAACTGCAGTCTTTGTACAGGTAGGAGAAAATACCCTGCATATTGATTGCTAAATTAAACTTTTACAATGACCTACGTATGGACTCAATATTAGTGAAGCTACCTTAGAAGGGAAGCAACATTAACTTCTATACAGGGAAAGAGTCAGAGTAGAATTGAGACTGCAGACTTCAAACTTGGAAGCTGGACGTAATGGGTATATTCAACAACTTGAAATTAAACACACAACAAGCAAGGAGCAAGGCCCCAGGTGGTGGAAGTCAGGAGGCCTCTACTTCCAGCAGAACAAATCCCTAGAGTTAGCCCCATGACCTGGGCTGAGATTATGCCTATCAATTTGCCTGTCACGTGGAGAATATTGTGAGAAAGAGGATCTTAAGGTACAACTGGCATACACATCCTGGCATCTAACTGGCTACAGTCTGTATGGGGCAGGTGCAGGGGAAAGCACAATATTTCCTGGTGCTCTGGTGACAGAGAGAATGGGGTTCCAGTGGTAAGTGCTCTCTAGATAACAAGGTTGGAAACTGGGAGGTGGGATCAGAGAGAGGTAAACTTTGTTGGCCCTTTGATCAGGAGGCTATTTTCCTCACAGAGGTGGATTGGACACAAAAGCTTTGGGCCTTGTTTTGTGAATGGTGATGGTGTGTCGAAAGACTGAATGGGAAATAATTTTACTGTTTTTTCTTAAATCATAAATCTCAAAGCTCTTTTGTTCGAATCAAATACATAAATATGTCTGTACATTTCTCAGTCATGCTTTTTGGCCCACAAGACACTTGTACGGTTGCATTAGGTGCTGGGGAAGCTGCTTGCTGGTCTCGAATGCAGAAGAGGACTGCAATGGGTAATTAATATCCCCACAAAGGAGGGGAGTAGACAACAGGAAAACTTCTGGAAACAGTCACCTTCTGAGAGCTCAGAGAAGAGTTCTACCCAACTCCAGACTAGAAAGAGAAGAGAGAGTCTGGACTGACTGCGTGGGCCTCTTTGTCACTCTGCCGCCTTTCTTTTACTCACGTAGGTCCAAGGAGAGAACTACTAAAATAAATTCGCAAGGAGCTATAACTGTCTTGCTCATGGGAGAATGTAATGAGGGAGAAAATTGAGTTCTCAAAGCTGATAGGAAAAGCTACTTAGGGATCAAGCTGCCTTTGTTTGGAAAATGACTTGATTAGACCACTTGGGAAAATGAGTGTCTGTGGGGCATGGACATGACCTGGATATTAGGATGTCAGCGATCAGAGAACTCAGGAGAGCAGCATGAAGAAAAGAATAACCGACTGTCATGTGACTTCCCAGCATCTCCCCCAAATATGATATAAAGTTATTAAGTGTGATGGTAATATTGAGGATCAACTTGATTAGATTGAAGAATGCAAAGTATCGTTCCTGGATGTTGCCAAAGGAGATTAACATTTGAGTCAGTGGACTGGCAGAGGCAGACCCACCCTCAATCTGAGTGGCCACCATCTAATCAGCTGCCAGTATGGCTAGGATAAAAGCAGGCAGAGGAACGTGGAAGGATTAGGCTTGCTGAGTCTTCTAGCCTCCATCTTTCTCCCATGCTGGATGCTTCCTGCCCTTGAACATCAGACTCCAAGTTCTTCAGCTTTCAGATTCTTGGACTTACTTACACCAGTGGTTTACTAGGCCTCTCGGGCCTTTCGCCACAGACTGAAGGCTGCACTGTTGACTTTCCTACTTTTGAACTTTTGGGACTTGGTCTGATCCACCACTGCCTTCTTTGCTCCTCAACTTGCAGACGGCCTATCATGGGACTTTAACTTGTGATCATATGAGTCAATTCTCCTTAATAAATGCCCTTGTATATATACTTGTATCCTATTAGTTCTGTTCCTCTAGAGAACCCTAATACACTAAGTTTACAAAATGTTTGGTTTAGAGGTGTGTGCTATGTGTGGGCATACGTATGTGCACTGATCAATAGGAAAAAGCTTTGCATGAGAGAGCATGAGATAAAGCAGAAAGCATATACACTCTATCAAAAGCAAGACAGAAATTGAGGGAAATCATAGAAATATAAACTTTTATAAATTAGCACAGTTATGTTTTGTGTATGAGTACAGGGTTTAAGGTATTACCATATTGTGAAATTGGAGGTTTGAGGCAATTCCAAATTTAATAAACTAAGAAAATTCCATATTCCATTTAGACTAAACCTAAGCAGCAAGTACATATTTCATAAAAACTTACGGAAAAATATTTTCAAAACTCTTATAGCATTTACAACAATAAGCTCATTTTCTAAAAAAAAATCTATTGGTTCATTTATTTATTCAACACATATTTATTGGGCATCTATTATGTGCCAGCATTGCTTTAGGTGCTGGGGATAGATCTAAGGATGCAGACAATAAAATTGAAAGCAGTTTGAAAGTTATAGATGCTTATATTTTGCCTGAGGGGAAGTTCAGATACCACATGTTATTGGTTGCCCTGTTCTGTACCTCAGGAATATTGGATACAGAAAATTTAACACTGCTGCACATTTGATACTAAATCCCAACACCATTTTTTTTTTTTAACATAAGCTGAATGTCCTCCAATTCAATTCAATTGCGACACCACTTACCTGGTGTTAGAGCAGACACTAAAAGTTAAGATCAGTCTTTCACAAGACTGTCTTTGCTTTAGATGCCAGCCACAGTAGGGTTCCTACGAGTCTTAATCTGTTGGGACTGCAATAAAACATGACTTAGACTGAATAGTGGAAACAGAAATGTATTTTTTTTTTCACAGTTCTAGAGGCTGGGAAGTCTAAGATCAAAGTGCTGGACTATTCAGTTTCTGGTGAGGGCTCTCTTCCTAGCTTGCAAATGCTCACGTGCTCATGTATAAAAAAGAGAGAAGCTCTCTGGTGTCTCTTCTTACAAGGACACTAATCCCGTCATAATGGCCCATAATCATTATTTCATCTGAACCTAATTACCTACCAAAGGCCCCATCTTCAAGCACTATCAACTTGGAGTCACGGCTTACACATGAATTTTAGGGGAACACAATTTAGTCCAAAGCACCAGGTTACCCACCCTCCTGTTTGACTTTGCTAAAATTTCAGGAGCTCCCATGAAGCAGCCTTTGGTTTCATAATTGGCTAGACAGACTTAGAAAACTCACTGAAAGAGCTATACTTAGAATTACAATTTTATCATAAAGATTTAACTCAGGAATAGCCTAACAAAAGAAATGCATTTGACAAGCTCTGGGGTGGAGGGTATATGCAGTGTTTCTATGCCCTCTCTTCATGAAATCCACATGTGTCACTCTCCCTGCACATCAATGTTTCACCAAGCTGGAAGCTCCACTGAGCCTTGATGTTCATAGTTTTTATATGGGGTTTAATTATGTACACATGATTGGTTAAATCATTGGTCATTAGTGATCGAAGTCAATCTCCAGCCCCTTCCCCTTCCCTGAAGGTTGGAAAGTGTGGCTGAAACTTCCAACTCTCTAATTACATGTGTTTGTTGTTGTTGTTGTTCTTGTTGTTGTTTTTGTGACTACCTTCATTTGGAAGATATATAGGGACCTACCACGTATCACCTCAGTAGCATAAACTCAGGTATGGTTAAAAAGGGCTAATTATGATTTACAAAAGACACTTCTATCACTCAGGAAATTTCAAATATATTTGAAGCTCTGTGTCAGGGATCAGGAACAAAGATGAAATATGTAGTTTTTCTCATACTGTGGGTGGAGATACAATTAAACTCCACCCAGGCCATAGCCCAATCCAAGCCAGTTGGAGGTGAGCTGATCTAAGATGGGATCAGTTGGGCAGCTCTGATTCTGGGGAGACAGATGTGCAAGAAGAATCCAATCAGGCCTTCATGCCTTTACTATGGAGGCTGCTTCAGCCCCCGGCTCCCACATGATGTACATAAGAGGAAATCTTCTCAACTCGTTCACTTTGCCCTCAATCTTTCTTGTAAGCACTTTTTCAGGTACATGGAGAAGAGCCTGCAAATGAATGTAATTTTTTCCTTGTTGCTGAGGCTGGTCCTCCCTTGGTCTCTTCAGGTAACTATTTTTCCTTAGATTTGTTCTGCAATCTCAGCTCTTACGATTCTAACAAAAGGTGTGTTTTCACAGGTGATCAATCTGTAGCTAATCTTTCAACTTGTAGTTTATGGAACTTTTTTGCACTTTTTTTTATTAGCTTCCCAACAATGATCTTGTAAGACTGGCAGAGTAGGGCTTATTAGTTGCCTTCATTAATGCAAAGATACTGCTCTTTCCAGGATAGTATCTGTTTCTCAGACATCCTAAGTGGATTAGATATACTGCTCTCACCCATGTCAGGTTCCTTATGGCCCAGCGTTCATTAGTAAAAAACAAATTGAGCCACTTGCAGGGTTAAAAAAAGAGAAACAAGAAAGCACTTACAAGATGATTCTTTGCCCTCCAGAGAAGGTATCTTACTTTTCTCTACTCCGCAATATTAGTGACCATCACATTTTAATTAGGATATGTTTTACTTTAACCAAGTACTAAGACAGAAATCTTCAGACTTCAAATATATAAAAGAAATACCTGAGAAACTATTAAAAACGCAAATTCTAGGCAACATCTCCACATTTTCTGATTCAGAGGTGGAAGGGTGAAGAGCAAGGTTGTCAAGAAATGTTTCTGTGAGGAACTGATATTTGAGATGAGTCCTGAAAGGTAACTATGACTCTTGACTACTTTAAGAGACTGAATGAGAAAGAAAAGTCCTGTAGAGAACAAACCTGTTCCATGGCCCTATGGTGAGATAAAGAAGTGATGTTTAAGAAACAGACAAGCTCATTCTGATTAGAAAGCAGTGAGCAGAGAGTAAAGAGTTGTACCACAGAGATTAATAACATAATTGGGGTGGTATTAGACATGATGAACTTTAACTAAAAGCCAAAAATATCATTAAAATATTTAGGCAGAGAAGTAGTATGATCATAGATTCATATGGAAAAGGTGACTCTTCTATACTGCAAAATTATGTATATTACAACTACTTCATGTTGATAATTTGATAATTTAAATAAAATGGATACCTTTTGCAAAAATGTATTACCATAGCTGAAAAAAAGAAGGAAATCTAAATAGTTCTATGTCTATTAAAGAAACTGAAATTTTAAGTATTACTTAAAATATTTCTTTTTTTTCATTTAAATTACCTTTTACTGTAATTTTAAAAAAACCATAAGGACTAAAACAATTAGTAGACAAATCTTATTCTCTTTTGTCTACTTAAAATATTTCTTACAAAGAAAACCCCAGGCCAAAGTGGCTTTACTGGTGAATTCTCCCAAACATTTAACAAAGTATTAATGGCAATATTATACAAAATCTTCCAGAAAAAACAGAAAAAAAAAATCAACTTCTAATTATTTTATATGAGACCAGCATAACAATAAATCAATAAACAAATATTTATCTTAACAAAAGTGACCAGGGGTGGTGGCTCATGCCTGTAATCCCAGCACTTTAGGAGGCCGAGGAAGGTGGATCACCTGAGGTCAGGAGTTTGAGACCAGCCTGGTCAACATGGTGAAACCTCATCGCTACTAAAAATACAAAAATTAGCCAGGCATGGTGGCAGGCGCCTGTAATCCCAGCTACTCGGGAGGCTGAGGCAAGAGAATCACTTAAACCAAGGAGGCGGAGGTTGCAGTGAGCTGAGATCACGCCATCGCACTCCAGCCTGTGGGACAAGAGCGAGACTTCGTCTAAAAAAAAAAAGGTTAAGAAAAAAAAGGCAAATTACAGACCAGTCTCTCTCATTAAATCCTTAACAAATTAGCCAACTAAATCTAGTAATATCAAAAGGACAATACATCAGGACCAAGTGGGGTTGATTCTAAGTATGAAAGGGCCATTAAAGATAAGAAAATCAAATAATGTAATTATTCAAGTTTATACAATGAAGGGAAAAACTAAATAGCTAGATTAATATAGACGACTTATTTGACAACATTCACCACGCACTTGTGATAAAATTTCAACAAACTTGAAATATAAATGAACTTTCTTAATTTAACAAAACTATCCATGAAAAATCTTCAGTGAACAAGATAATCAATTATAAAGCATTTAAAAATTTCAAATGAAATAAGAAATATGACAAAATGCTCACTATCGCCACTTCTATTTTGTGTTATACTAGAAATTTCAGTCAGGACAATAAGGCAAAAAAAAATTAAATCATGGGCATTAGAATTGAAAAGGAAGAAATAAGATAGTACCTACGCATGGATGAAATGACAGAGTACATGAAACATCCCAAAGAACTGCAGACACAATATTAGAAAAGATAAATTTAACATGATAATAGAGTATAAGTCAATATACCAAAAATCAATGGAATTTCTATATGTTAGTAATAAGCAAAGAGAAAAGAAACTATAAAATGAAATCATTCATAACATTAAAAAATTAAGAACTTATGAATAAATCTAACAAATAATGTAAAAGACATTTTTGCTTAACACTGGAAACATTATTGAGAAAAATCAAAGTAGACTTAAATAAATGAAGGAATATATCATGTTCATGTAGTGTAAGATTCACTATTACTTCTCTAAATAATACTTGATAGATTCAATGCAATCCCCATCAAAACTCCAGCCTTTTTCTCCTAAGGAAACTGATGAACTGATTTTAAAAGTTATACAGAAACGCAAAGAGCCAAAAATGGTCCCAGCAATAATGAACAAGGATTAATAGCTCAAAAACTTACAGTACCAGTTATCGAGAATAAGACCTATTACAAAGCATAATAATTAAGACAGTATTATAGGTTGAGTTAGAGAAAGCTAAGCTGACTAACAGAAAATAAACATACCCACACATTCATGGTGATCTAATTTATGATTAAGCTAACATTTCAATGAAGAGAGGGAAAAGCTGTCTTTTCAGTAAATGTTGTTGACTAATTTCATATCCATGTGGAAAACAAATTTATCTTGGCCCCTACCTCATACATAAAAACCAATTCTAGAAAATTTATACAGCTAGATATAAGAGGCAAAATGACAAAATGCTCAGAGGAAATAATATTTTCATTTTGGAGTAGGCAAGCATTCTTTTAAAGGACACACAAAATATTTACCATGAAAGGGGAAAAATAATGGTGCACGGGAATAGAGTAAGATTAAGAAATTCTTTTCCTGAAAAGTCACCATTAAGAGAGTGTAACAAGTGGCATGGGAGCAGATATTTGCAAACATAATGTCTGATAAAGAACTCATATAACGAACTCCAAATCAGCAAGGAAATACAGTGGACCCAATAGAAAAACTTCGCAAAAGAACATATCAAAATATTCAGTAAACCTAAAAATGTTCTTAACTTCATTAGTTATCAGGGAAATGAAATTGAAACCACAATGAGATGCAACTACACATGCTCAAGAATGGTTAAAAGGAAAAAAAGGGCTGGGCGGGGTGGCTCACGCCTGTAATCCCAGCACTTTGGGTGGCTGAGGTAGGCAGATCACGAGGTCAGGAGTTAGAGAATAGCCTGACCAACATGGTGAAACCCTATGTCTACTAAAAATGCAAAAATTAGCCAGGCTTGGTGGCACCTGCCTGTAATCCCAGCTACTCAGGAGGCTGAGGCAGGAGAATTGCTTGAACCCAGGAGGCTGAGGCTGCAATGAGCCAAGATCACACCACTGTACTCCAGCCTGGGCAACGGAGTGAGACACTGTCTCAAGAAAAAAAAAAAAGACTGACAATATCAAGTGCTGACAGACATTTGAAACAGCTGCCACTTTCATTTATAATTGTAAATGAAACTAATTTCATGCTGTTGTTAATGTAAATTGGTGTTAAATTTTAGTAAACTGAAAATACATAATAAAACTGAATAAATGCACTTTTCAGTAAAATTGAATGTACTGTACTTTTTGATACATACGCAATAGCATAGCATATATATGCTCACCAAAAGATATCAACAGAAATGTTGATGGCAACGCTACTACATGATATGCTTAAATTGTAGAGTAACCAAGTACCTACTATATAAATGGGCATTTATAGGTGGCTAAGTATCTATTAGTGTATCTACACAATAAAAGTATATAATAGTACATACCAAACATGTATTCACATAATAAAATACTATTATACAATAGACACTACAACATGGATTACATTTTATAATCATAATTCCCACCAAAAAAGCCAGTCAATAAAGAATACATTCTCTATCAATCCATTTACATAAAGCACAGAAATAGACAAAACTAAACATGCTACAAGCCGGCAATGTTTTGTTTCTTGACTGCTAATGGCTATATGACTATTTCCAGTTTGGGGAAATTTACGAAGTGGTACACTTATGATATTTTGACTTTTCTGCATATATTTTATGCCTTAATAAAAAGTTAAAGAAAACATAAACTTCACTAGCTGTTTATGAAACGTTTATTTGAGAGGAGCAAGACAATTGGGGAGATTTAGGAGGCTGTAGCCTAGGCTAGGAAGTTGGAAGAAATTATAGAAAGTTTTCTAATTGTCATAGCAGGGAGCATGAAAATTAGTTAACTAAAGAAATATATTAAGAAGCTTTGTGTGTGTGTGTCTTGTTTTTGTTTTTGTTTTTCTGAAACAGAGTCTGTTACCCAGGCTGGAGCGCAGGGGTGCTATCATGACTTGCTGCAGCCTCCACCTTCTAGGCAGAAGTGATCTTCCCACGTCAGCCTCCCCATTAGCTGGGAGTTCGAGTGCACGTCACCACGCCCAGCTAATTTTTTTATTTTTTGTAGAGACAGGGTTTCACTTTGTTGCCCAGGTTGGTCTCAAACGCCTGAGCTCAAGCAATCTACCTACCTCGGCCTCCCAAAGTGCTGGGATTGCAGGTGTAAGCCACCATGCCCAGCCAGTAAGCAGTTTTAAGATTTAGTAAGTGTGCATTTATGGTTATATCCATTCATTTTGTACCATCTTCTCCAGTAGTATTTAGCTATCTAGACACTAGCAACAAAAATGGGTACAATTGGTGGTGTAAACAAAGGACTGTCAAGCAGGTTTAGAGTTTTGGCAAGAAAGTACTCATGTTTATAAATAGAGATTTGATTTCCTGGTAGTGTTGTTATAGCTTCACCAGTAGCTGTGTTTTACTGTTCACTTTCTCCACGTAGGTTTTTCACCAGATGCATGGGTGATTGGTGATTATTTTTTTCCTTATATTTCAAATGTCCCAAACCTTAAATTTATCCTAGACTCTGCTATTTTTCTCATTTTCCACTTTTACTTCATTATCTTGAATTTCTCCCTATTTGTTCATCTTGGAGAAAAAACTATGACTGCACAATAACTAACTGTATTTGAAAGCCCAGGATTTTAACACAAGACAGTATTACCTCTTCTTCAAAAATTGAGTTTATGACTCGTATTTTCTGAGCTCAACCTGTGTCATGGTTATGTTTTAGATTATTTTTTGAAAAAAGAGTATATAGCTCTTGAGTATTTCAGTGAAAGATTTTTACACTAGATTTCTTCTTTGGGCTTTTAAACTAATGAAATGGAGATAATTTAAGCTATAATACTCATGAAAACATTTCATTCAGAAACCACATGACAGAGAGAAAATATACTTCTCATATACAAAATAATCTGGATGGCATATTTGAGATGGCATAAATTACCATATCCCTTGTCCATGTGTAAAAGGCATTCTTATGAAGTTCAGTTATGTTGAAAATGCCCATTAAATCAAATATCTTTTATAATGCACCTACTATGCTCAAAGCATATATTTAGAAAAATTCAATACTTAATCAAATATGGTCTCAATTTTCAAGAAGCCTACATATTTAAATTATTTATAAAATGGATATGCAATAAAGCCTTAGGTTTTTTTTTTTTTTTGCAAAAATATGTTCTGCCACCATTTTGGGATAGACGTAGTGAGGTTCATTGTAAACTGTGAAATATGCATTTATTAGGAAGGGTGGGAGAGACAAAATGACTACTTTAGACAAGATGGTGAACTAATAGCTGCTTATTCCCACCCCCAAATATGACCCTGCAGATATCCTAGAAACAACAGAATGTTTATTTATCCCAGAAGCTAATACTTAAACTACAAGAAACTGCTGATTTGCTAGATGATGACTGGGGCCTAACATAAGCTCAGGAAATGAAAATCCTGGTAGAAAGAATGAGTACCAAAGACAGCCCCTTGGCAGCTCTTCAGAATGTGCCCTGGTTGGATCATTGATTGTGCCAGATCCATTTACGGGCCAAAAAGCAGTAACAGCAGTTCAGTGCTGACTGGACTCACTGGGGTAACATCAAGGATGTACTACTAAGGAGTAAATTGTAACTGTTCTACTTAATGTTGATAGGTTAGCCTCTATGAATTCCATTATCATTTACCACATCTGGATGAATATACCCAGGGTAGTTCTTTGAAAAGAGCACCTAGAGTTGAGATATTAACAGATTCCCTGAAACACAAAATTTGCTAGACAGGAAGCATCTTCGTCTGTTTTGTGTTGCTATAAAAGAATACCTCAGACTGCGTAATATACAAAGAGGAAAAGTTTATGTGGCTTATGGCTGCACAAGGAGCATGGTGCCAGTATCTGCTTCTGGTGAGGGCCTCAAGCTACTTCCACTCAAGGAAGAAGGTGAGGAGGAGCCAGCAGTGCAGAGATACATGGCAAGAGAGGGAGCAAGACAGAGCAAGAAAGAGGGAGCAAGACACAGCAAGAAAGGAGATGCCAGGCTCTTTTTAACAACTAGCTCTTTTGGGAACTACTAGAGAGAGAGAGCTTACTCACTCCTAAGGTGGCCATTAATCTAATTAATATATTCATGAGATCCACTCCCATAACCTAAACACCTTCCACTAGGCCCCACCTCCAACAATGGGGATCAAATTTCAACATGAGATTTGAAAGGGACAAACATCCAAACGATAGCAGGAGGGAAGGTGTGATTGGAAGGTTTTAGAACTGTATTAAATATAAAAAACACTCCACCCTAAAGCTAATTTTACCAGAGTCTCTAAATAGTCAGAAAAGGGAGAAGCTAACACGTGGGTTAGCTCATCCCTAATCCACCAAAAGCATATTATCAGATTCCCCCAAGGGAGAATTAAGGAGAAAAGTCATAAGGAACAAAAAAGAGAAGTTACCTACAGATAAAAGTGACATTTCATAAAAAGAAAAATTGATCATAGACACTTGTGCCAGAACAATATAGTCTTATAAAATGCAACACCTGACAGAATTCCGTAAGGAAATAAATAAATCAAAATACATTTGGAGATTTTAACTTACAGTTTTCAGAAATTGTTGGATCACATAGGAAGAAAAAGTAAAGTTATAGAATATTTGAAAAAGTTGATTAGTAGCCTCAAAAAGATATACACATATAGACTTTTGTACGGAAAATGGATTAGACATAATTTTCAAACCACGTAAAACATAAGTAAAAATTGGCCATACTTTGGTCCACAAAGTCACCCTCAATAAATGTCAAAGAATCAATACAAACAAGACATCCAAAAGGCCCTGATGACTCAAAATCCAGAAACCATAAAAGAAAATATTTGCTAAATTTTAGAAATCTCTGCACAGCAGAAACACAAACATACGCAAAGTCAAAAGAGAAACAGCAAAGTGTGAAAATATTCACACTTCCGAAGTACAAAATGAAACACATTCTATGAGTGAAGATTAGTAATGGCTATAAACTAGAAACCTGACAGATGCATTAATGCTTTGACAAGGCAATTCCACCTTCCTATGACCACATGTATGCAAACAGCATGTCCAGGTTAATTTTTGTAGCACTGTTTGTAATAGAAGACTGGAAGCAGCCGAGACTCCACTCCTAGGAGACTGGTAGAAAAATGATAGTACATATCTCACCATGGAATATTATGCAGTTGAAAAACGTTTTGGAGACTGTCTATATACTTATATATATATGTGTTGTTGAGTGAAGATTTATAGGGAAGAAAAGTTTACAATATAAGTTTTCATGGAAGAATGTGGGGGAAATAAGAATATGTGTATGTATATTTTTATTGGCTTGTATTTGAATAGACATTGGAAGAGTAAACAAACAAAAATAATTATCTATGAAGGAACAGAGGAAGACAATGTAAGTTACAGAAATCAGATTTTTTATGCATAATTTAAAACACATTTTGTACTTTGTAGATGCTGATAATTATTATTATTATTATTATTATTATTGTTTTTTTTTTTTTTAAATAGAATCTCGCTCTGTCACCCAGGCTGGAGTGCAGTCACAGGATCTCCGCTCACTGCAAGCTACGCCTCCCGGGTTCACGCCATTCTCCTGCCTCAGCCTCCAGAACACCTGGGACTACAGGAGCCCGCCGCCACGCCCGGCCAATTGTTTTGTATTTTTAGTAGAGACAGGGTTTCACCGTGTTAGCCAGGATGGTCTCGATTTCCTGACCTCGTGATCTGCCCGCCTCGGCCTCCCAAAGTGCTGGGATTACAGGGGTGAGCCACCACGCCCGACCGCTAATAAATATTTGTTAAAAAGAAAAGAATGTCCAGGGGGTTCCAAGAGAGCCACCTGGGATCCAGTGTGAATGGATTCTGTGATGCACTGCTCTCCACAGCAGTGGGATTAGCATATGAAGGCTCTGAGTCCCAGTGTCTGGAATGGCTCTTTTTAAGCATCAATGTGGCCATCCTGATATTGTAGGTATAAAAAGATGCTGAGACTTGAATTAGGGTTGAGGACAAAGATAGAGGGAAGACGTACAGAGCTAGATCAGCTCCAGGGCAGGGCCAACAGCTACTTACTGAGACACTGACAAGGGTTTGGAGCCTATTTAATGTTGTGTGTTCAAAGATTAGAGGGGAGAGAAATAAGACATTTGTATCAGAATTCTGAGAAATTGAATAGAAATTGTGTCAGGCAATTTCTAACAGACCTATGTGCAAATTAGGAGCAGGTGAGAAAGTACCAAAGCCACCTTTGCCAGCGCATTAATATGGTTTCATTGAGGACTAAGCCAATCCAGCCTGGCTAGCTGGTTTCCTTAAGTTAAGCAGTACCATGAAGAGAAGAGCCTATATGTAAATCATGCCAGCAGGTCCTGCGGGAAAGGGTACATACATCGTTTTCATCCTAATATGGTGTATTAGTCGAACTTTCATTGCTATAAAGGAATACCTGAAACTGGGTAATTGATGAAGAAAGAGATTTATCTGGCTTACAGTTCTATAGAGTGTATGAGAAGCATAGGGCTGGCATCTGCTTCTGGTAAGGGCCCCAGGAAAATTTACTCATGGCTGACGCTGAAGGGGAAGCAGGTATATCACAAAGCACGAGAGGGAGCAAGAGAGCAATACCGTGCTCTTTATTAATTTATTTTTGAGATGGGGTTTTCCTCTGTCACCCAAGCTGGAGTACAGTGGCATAATCATAGCCCACTGCAGCCTCAAACCTCTGGGCTCAAGTGGTGCTCCTGCCTCAGCCTCCACACTATAAGCATGTGTACCACCTTGCCAGCTAATGCTTTCATGCTTATTTTATTTTACTTTATTTTTTAGAGGTGGGATCTCGTTATGTTGCCAAGGCTGGTAACATTCCTGGGCTCAAGAGATCCTCCTACCTCACCTTCCCAAAGTGCTGGGAATTCTGTTCTCCATGCCTTATCAAACCATATGATATGGGTAGGTTTTCAAGTGCTTTCACATCCATTATCTCATGTGAAGCTCAGACTAACCCCGTTAAATAGCCGGAACTCTTATTTCTGTTACAATTTCTTGGATGAGAAAACTGATATTTAAGTAGGTAAAATGGCATGTGCATGTTCGCTTAACTAGAAGTAGGTTGTGCAAGGATCAAATAGAATTCTCATTCCTGCTCAATGACTGGGTCATGAATTTATTCATTTATCACTCATTATTGAGTGCCTAATAAGTCAGGAACTAGGCATCCAAGTATTATAAGAAGCAATTTCTCCCATGGAACAGCTCACCATACCATGAAGGCCTCTTTCTGCTACTGCTGTATCCAAAAGGAATTCTCTTCTCCATGCCTTCTGCTATGCCACTGGCAAGAAGAAACATGCAATAAAGGTATGAAATTCATCTCCAAGGGTTTTCAAGAACTCCACGGGAGGTCAGAAAGCCTATTTATTAAGGCTCTAATTATCTAGTTTTATGGTTTGACAGGATTCCCCGCCCACAACACTGATGCATTCCTTAGGATACTAGGACCACATCAAAGAGAGACTAGGGAAATTTTAAAAGGTGGAATTCAAATGCATCAATTTTGTATTCATTTTATTATTTTTATAGATTCGGGGGGTACAAGTGCAGTTTTGCTACATGGATATATTACATGGTGGCGAAGTCTAGGTTTTTAGTGAACCCATTACTCGAACAGTGAACACCATGTCACTAGCCTTTGAATGAGAATGATGAGGAGGCAGTTGGGAAACTCACAAAGTAAGGTACTTGGATTATTCCAAAATATAAATTATTCGTCCTACGCCCTACCCCCACTGCACCATGGATAGGAAAACTAAAGCTTTCTCACAGGCATACTGCAGTTTGCCTTGTTATCTTCTATATTTTTTCTTTTATGTTAAAAACTATTAAAGGCCTTCCCAAATATATTGAATTATTTTCACTTTAAGAATCATTATTTCCTTGCTTGTTTGCTTGCTTTGCTTTAAGTTGATGTGGGCAGTGAAGAGTACAGACAAAGGAGAGATCCTGCAAATGATAGAGGTGAAGCCAATTTGAGGACTGAGGTCTACTGACATATTTTTGCTTTAAAAATGAGGGAAAAATAAAACAAAGAAAATGTAATCAAGATTAAATGAGCAGGCCGGGCACGGTGGCTCATGCTTGTAATCCCAGCACTTTGGGAAGCCGAGGCGGGCGGATCACGAGGTCAGGAGATCGAGACCAGGGTGAAACCCCATCTCTACTAAAAATATAAAAAAATTAGCCAGGCGCGGTGGTGGGTGCCTGTAGTCGCAGCTACTTGGGAGGCTGAGGCAGGAGAATGGCGTGAACCCGGGAGGTGGAGCTTGCAGTGAGCTGAGATCGTGTCACTGCACTCCAGCCTGGGCGACAGAGCAAGACTCCGTCTCAAAAAAAAAAAAAAAAAAAAAAACAAAACCAAAAAACCAAAAAAACAAAAAACAAGATGAAATGAGCAGATTTTTTAAACCATAAATGAAGGAAGGAATCAAACAAAAACGATTTCAAGTACACACTGTTCATAACTGGCTTCCAATGGAACAGTGTAAGTTCATTATAGGCCGTAACTTTTATAATGAATTTGTCACTAAAATAATTAATTCCCAGGGAGACCTACTTGGGGTGGAGCAAGTTTGTGGAATAGTATGTTTTTCTAGACCTGTTTGGGAATATCTGTCACAACGAATAGAAAATTGAATTCAGAGATATCCACAGGAGCTGTGTGAAAAATATTTCAGGTAGCATTTTTTTTTTTTTTTTTTTTTTTTTTGTCTCTGGCAATTGTCTGGAACCTGCCATCCATACACCACTAACAGTGATTTCAATGACAGTCATAAGCGATTACTGTTTTCAGAACCATTAGTTCATTATTGCTTTCTTTAAAAGAAGGCAACTGTTTGATAATGTTGAAAATAAAATGTGGTTCTCTAATATTCTTTTTTCTTTTTTTTTTTTTTTTTGAGACGGAGTCCCGCTCTGTCACCCAGGCTGGAGTGCAGTGGCGCGATGTCGGCTCACTGCAAGCTCCGCCTCCGGGGTTCTTGCTATTCTCCTGCCTCACCCTCCTGAGTAGCTGGGACTACAGGCGCCCGCCACCGCGCCTGCCTAATTTTTTTTTTTTTTTTTGTATTTTTAGTAGAGACGGGGTTTCACCGTGGTCTCGATCTCCTGACCTCATGATCTGCCCGCCTCGGCCTCCCAAAGTGCTGGGATTACAGGCGTGAGCCACCGCGCCCAGCCTCTAATATTCTTCTAAACAGAAGTTTGTGCTGGCCAGGGAGAAGACTGCGGCAAGGTATTTTAGAAGTAATTCCCTCACATAATTTTGATTGTTTGTCAAGCTTCTATCTTTTTTCCAGCTCGCTCAGTTTTTCCTTTTCTCAACTCAATGTACTCAAAGACTAAAGCAATAAAGGAACAATGCAAAGAAAACAGAAGCATCTCTCCTCTTTCACTTTTTTCCCCTCTCAAGTACAATCTTGGTTGAGCAAAATGTCATTACGTTTTCATGTAGTGGGCAAACATGACCGACCCATTACAGTGGGGTGAACTAAGATAACCCATTAACCACAGACAGAAAGTTAAATACAGATGTGCTCATAGTGAATACTCGAGTTCTATGAAGTATGTCACCCTGATATGTTAGGCAAATACTTAGAAGGAAGCTTCAGGTTAGAGAGAGATTTGAAGAAACAATAAAATTAAAGCCTATTTAACAAATTAATCCAGAAGTAACCATATGTATGATAGAAATAGATTTCTTCCATTAATCTGATATAATAAAGTCCTGATCCAAGGAAATTGAAATGAAACGTACTAGAATAAGAGGGAAATTAAAAAACTATGGTAGCAACGCAAATGGTTTCCATCTCACCAAATGAGTTCTACTTGACTTGATATATTTTTCATTCCTGATCTGGGCCAATACAGGTTTGATTTATAAAATATTTTGAATAGACTTAACTTAAATATGTACATATGTTAGGATAAAATATCTTTGCTTTTTTTCCCCCCTCTTTTTCCTATCCTATTATTTCCATCATCATCACTCTACTTTTGCCAGTAAATTATAAAACATAATCTTAGAATAAATGTTATTAGTCCTTGACATGTGGTTAGGGATACATGTTATTAGGATGTTTCTCAAAAATGTTCATTTCAGGCTGAGAAATTGATGTTGGTGTCTTCACCCCTAAGTGAAGACAACTGCCTTATTTTTAGTTTTGATTCTAATAAAAGTAGATCGATGTTGACAAAATATTAACTAATTAGTCCTTTTGACTTCAGGACTCTGAAATATTGTTTCATAGTCACTCTCATATTTATTGGCTAGGTGCAACCTACCAGCATATTTATTATAGGTATTTAGTAACTACTTTTCGATTTCTGTAATTCCCAAATTAGCACATTTTAAATTTTGATTTTTTATTTTTGATGAATACTGACATTTTAATTTTACTCACATGGTTGAAGACTTATTTTCTGTCTGTGTAATTCTCCCCCTTCCCTTCACTCCAACTCTCCATTCCCTTCCTTTCCTTTTTTCTCCTTCATATCCTCATTTGTCTATCTCTTCTCTTCTTTCTCTCCTTGCCAACCCCTGCATCCTCCTATCTTTTTGGTTGTTTCTTTCTACAAACACTTGATGAGTTTCTACAATGTACCCATCATGCTTAGTTCCAGTGATATAGGAACAATTTCTGCCATTGAGGAGATCAAACTAAAATAGCATTAACATAAGGCGACAATAAAATATTTACAAGGTACTGTAGGGGAAAACTAGAGGAAGAAAGGGGTAGTTACTTGGAGGGTTAAGGGTAGAATGGAAGCATTGGAAACATTCTGATTGTTAATTTTTTAGGAGTCTACCAGAGAAATGAGGACATTTTAAGCAAAGGGAAAAATAAAACAAGTGAACAGAGATATGAAAATGCAAACGGTTTTGGTGGAGGTGAGTAGCCAGCTCTAGCTCATTGGTATGATTTGGCTGTGTCCATACCCAAATCTCACCTTGAATTGTAATAATCCCCACGTGTCAAGGGCTGGCCCAGGCGGAGAGAATTGAATCATGGGGGCGGCTCCCCCATGCTGTTCTCATGGTAGTGAATACCTCTCACGAGATCTGACGGTTTTATAAATGGGCGGTCCCCTGAACAAGCCCTTGCCAGCAGCCATGTAAGAGCCCGCCTTTGCTCTTCCTTTGTCTTCTGCTGTGGTTGTGAGGCTTCTCCAGCCATGTGAAACTGTGAGTCCATTAAGTCTCTTTCTTTTAAAAATTACCCAGTCTTGGAAATGTCTTTATTAGCACCGTGAGAATGACTAATACACTCATGCAGGAGCAAAAGCAGCACGGTTCGAGGCAGCGGAAGCATTAGGTATCAGGAAAGATTTTAAAGGGCCTTCCAGTCTGTGGTAGGCATCATGTATTTTATCTTGCAGGCAACGCTCCCCTTCAAGGGTTTTCAAAATAGTAAATAGAGTGACCCGTTCTGCGTTAAAAATTGTTTCTAATATAAGTTGATTAGGGACTTTCTAAGGAAATGTATAAACAAGTAAGAGAAAACTTTTTGTATTTATGATCCCTTCCCAAATAATTTTATAAGCAAATAGCCTGACACTGTCTTCTCAGGAGCATCTCCTGCTTGGGAAGTGCTGAACCCATTATTTGCTTCAAACCTTACCAGTGAGGCTTTGGGTGGCCAGCAGTGTTTAAAGAGGAGATGCAAGGTGTATGCAGATTCACTCACAGCTGTTCATGAGCCTCTGTCAATGAGTTTCTGGAAGCTCAAGCCCATTCCCTTCACTGTATATTTTGAGAGCATCCAACCTGTGCTATAGCAATCTGAAAGGCTGGTGAGAAAGGACCCCAAATAATATCAGAATAAAGGCATTTATTCAGTGCATTCTTCCTTTCACCCCAAATGCCTAATGGCAGCATATTATTTCTTGAGAAAGATTTCAGTTGCTTGTTGTGATTATGATCCATTATCAGGTAGATGTGGGGGGCAGCACAAAATATTTGCCATTGAGTTTTAATCAGTGCCATGGAAAAATTGTGGAACATCTCATTTAAAATTGCAGTCATCTTCCTTGACAGCTTCAGTAGAAAAAGTGGAAAACTGAAGAACATTTTTTAAAAAAGAAAGCAGTTAAAATGGCTTCCAGTTACTGACAACCTCTCTCTCAAACCCTGTTATTTTATCATTTATTTAATGCAATCTATGATTTAGCTACAGCCTTAAATGTCACTTTCAGTTTTCTTTCTTATGTTAAGACTGTCTGGCCTTCTCCATCTGGCATCCCAGGAGCAAGCATTTATTCATTCCTGATTACCAAACACCTGGGCAGTTGCATATTGACGTCTACAGCTCTAAGTGGTGATGAATGCTTATTAAAGACTGCCATTTTATGCACATATTTTGTGATGATTCCTGTCTTAAATTGCAAACATTTCAAACTTTCTGTTGCAGACATTTGAAACTCCTTTTCTTTCAAAAAGTTATTTATTTTTAATTGATAAAAATTTATATATGTATTGCATAAAACATCATGTTTATAAATATGTATACATTATGAAATGGCTAAATCAAGCTAAATATATATACATTATGAAATGGCTAAATCAAGAGTATATGAGGTAATGATATATTACCTCATATACTCATCATATTTTTGTGGTGAAAACACTTAAAATCTATTCTCCTAGCAATTCACAAGAATACAGTGTATTGTTATTAATTATGATATACAATAAACCTCTTGAACTTTTTCCTTCTGCTTTCATATCCTTTGACCAACATCAGTGCAACCCACCCTCCCACATCCACTCCTGTTAAACACCATTCTACTCTCTACTTCTTTGAGTTCAACTTTAAAAAAATTCTACATAAAAGTGAGATCATGTCTTCCTTTTCAAGCTCAAAGCTAATGCTTTCAAATGATAATAAAATGGAAAACCCCTAGCCAGACTAAATCTGCCCTTTTAATTAACCAAGGATGTTTGGGTTTTTAATAATCAACAAGTTACTGATTTCAAAAATCAAATACAAAAAGTATAGAAAAATGTGCATTATTATTTAATAGAAATACATGTTAAAATAATAATACAATAGTATCAAGGCACAGATCTAAGCCATAAACCTCCTTTCTCCTGTGATTTTAGAGATGTGATGGTTTGTTCCATTTATTCACCACTTAATCAACAGTGACCTTGCGTTGCAGGTTTTCTCACCATAAGTAAACTAAACTCCCAGAAGGGATGAAGTGCACACCATTCTTTTCTAGTATCTAAAACCCCACCTCCAGAACCATTCCTGCTGCCTGGGATATCTGTATTAAAAAATATTCCCTTGGAATTAAATATTTTGATGAGAAACTTGCTTCCACTTCTTCGATATGTTTAACATACAAATCAGGAAAGACTTGCCTAACATTTCTTATACTCTTATGTGTTCATTTTATTTTTTTTCTTTCTCTTAAAGTTCACTTTATCACTTGCTACTAGCTTTTCTTCTCTCATTATTCCAAATTGTCACTTATCTTTACTCACATGTGTGGATCCCCAGAATTCTTAAATTCAGACTCTTGCCACCTTGTAAACTTTCCAACTTTGTGTGGTGGAGAAGGAGCCAAAGTACTTTCTCCAACCATGGAGAAGTAGGTTTGGAGATAAACTATATTTTCAAATACATAAAAGGTGATGACCTGGCCCAAAGAGATGTCTACAACATATATTTTAAATAATCACTGTAATGCAATATGGAAAGGTAGGCAGAGACACAGAGAAATGAGAAAAGGTAGGAATGATAGCGTCAAAAACAGAGAACAGCCTAGAATGAAACAGGAGTCAGAAAAGAAAACAATTCATTCTGGCAAGAAATGTGAAAGAGTTCAAAAATTGACTTTTATAGGAAAGACTAAGGTTAGAAAAAAATTACAGGAAATATAAAAGTGAGCTATGATCATAGAAAAGGTAGACGACACTAAAAATGTTCTTTGTAAAGGAACTAATCATAATAAGAAAAAATCACCTCTTTAAACCTAGAACTGAAAAACTACAATTTGTAAGTTAAAAATAAAACCTTATAAATCAGTCAAAGACACTAGAGAAATAAGAAAGGCATACTTGACACTCTAGAAAATAGACAGGTTAAAAAGTATATATATTGAAAAGGAGCTGAAGTAACGCCTGAGATAAACTTCTTTTAAAAGACAACATAATTCAAAATAATGGCAATATTTTTCAATTGTCTGAGTAAAGAAAACACATTTTCCAATATGAGAAGGAGGAAAGTGATTAAATACCATTGAAACCTGTCAGATGAACAACTCTTTCAATACCCACTTTGGAGAAGAAGTTCATATTCTCAAACTTCACAGAATTTGCAGAATGTGGTTCAGTGCTCTGGAATTTATTCCCAGCTAAAATAATAGCACACGCACAGGAAAGGAAAATGAAGTTTTTCAAGATTAAAATAGAGTTTAGGGAAGTAATAGGCTTTGAAACTTTAAGAAACTGTCAGCAAAATAAAGATACTCTGTTTCTAGATACTAATATATACTCACATAAATTGACGTTGTGTTAAAATTGATTTCCAGAAATAATTCACATGCATGTTTTCTAATTTAATCGCTAAACATATATCGAGTTTATCCTATGTGCAAACCAATGTGCTAAGTAGACAAAGAGCTTTATAAGTTGGTAAGGCTGCCTAGAAATAAAATATTGGATGCTACCATTTTTCTTTTTTTTCGCAACTGGAGCACCAGCCACTATTGTCACTAATTGACTTAGATATCAACGGTCTGGGGCAATATAACGCTTTAAAAAGATTTCATTGAAACTGTGACTGTGACGTTTAATGTTATTCCCACGTAATGGGTAAGTATTGTTTTCTTGTACTTAGAGATATTCACATAGAACCTGGTTAGCCCTGAGCTGTCAGGAGTGAAGACATGATAGAATCTTTGATACATTGTTGATCTCAAGGAATTCTTTGGCCAAAAAGAATCTCTGATTATCATTAGAGGATGGTACATGTGTATGGGATGCCTAGGTTATACTTGACTTTTTTTTACTTTCATCATATTTACAGAGAATACTAACAGGTCAAATCAATGTAGTATAGGACACCCAATTTCCCCCCCCCTTTCCTAGTTTATACCTACTTATATCCTCTTTTATTAATATAGGTTTTTTTTGTACCATTATGAGTCCAAACTAGTATTTCTTTTAATAGTCAATTTGCGTAAGTTCGTAGGAACTGAAAGTTCCCCATGCAGTGTTAGTGAGGAATATGCCTACACATTTTTCTCATTAAAAAGCCACGCCTGACCCCACTTTTTGCTTTTGCTTTTGGCCGAAGCTTGAGATGTGAGGCTGCTTCCTGATAACCAGAACTGTTAGCATCTTCATCTAATGTAGGGGTTTGGAGTCAAACACTTTGGTGCTATGTGGAAAATGATTTGAGTATAAATCAATCAGTCAAGAATTCTGGCCAGTACTCATTTTAAATCAATATGGAAAACAGATGGGAAGGAAACGGTCTTCCTTATTACGAACTCTGGAAATGTGACACAGATGCTTTTAGGCTGTTTTCTCATAATTTTGAATGTTTATACATTCACAAGATGTACCTACGTATCCATTGTTGTCAGTAACCCAGGGCTTTTCTTGTCAAAGATGAACCAGCTGACATCACTGTCAATGCTATTACAAAAATCAGATAAAAATATCAACAAGTGCTGAAATATCTTTAAAAACAATGGCTGCAAACAGAAAGATGATGAAAGTTATCCCAGCAAGAGCAAGGGTGGAAATGAGCAAATTAACTGATGAGAGCTCAGGGTAAAATATATAATTTTGAAATTATACGTATGCTTTCGAATATTTCAACATGTGGGAAGAATCTTTTAATGGTACTCCTTCTTATAATTGGATACATTTGTACTCAGCTCTGCACTGCAATGAAATGACAAGGACTATGATTTTTGTAGCATCTAAACTTTACAAAACATTTAAAAGTGCCATAAAATAGGAACAAATTATCCTGGTCTTGCAAAAATGTTTATAGAATAAAGGTACTCTGAAAGGAGGCAAAAAACAATATTTTTGTAAATATTGTAGCTGAAGTATTTATGCATTTTAATACAGAAAATAGAATTGAAAATATCTTCTAACAGATTTTGCACCTGCAGAGAGAATAATTTCTCAATTAAAATATAATCTATAGAAAAGAGTCAACTGAAAGCACTAATAATTTTAAAGTTTTTAACCATAAATTGCATCTTGGAAGAAAATTGCAAACATGGCAGCTTCAAATAGGTGTTCTTTCTATACTGTCTATTAAGCAGGAGTAGTTCCTTCTCTCCGTCCTGGAGCATAGCTCTCTTAGTCATTTAGCAAGTACTTCCTTTTCCACTCTACCAACCAGAGTCAGTAATGTTTACAGTTCTCGAGTAGTCATTCCAGCAGAAACCACGCCACTCAGCTTTCTTACTGAGGCTTGCGAGCACCTGGGAAGCAATTTAAGGGATTTATCACGTGTCCACCCATGAGACAGAGTCTGCAGAGAAGGCCCCTTCTCTGCCTTGCTTTATACTTCCACATTTTTACAAAGCATAGTCTAGACTTTGTACTGTATTTTTTTTTTTTCTTTGAAACGGAGTCTCGCTCTGTCGCTGTCGCCCAGGCTGGTGTACACTGGCCTGATCTAGGCTCACTGCAAGCTCCGCCTCCCAGGTTCACGCCATTCTCCTGCCTCAGCCTCCCAAGTAGGTGGGACTACAGGCGCCCGCCACCGCGCCCGGCTAGTTTTTTGTATTTTCAGTAGAGACGGGGTTTCACCATGTTAGCCAGGATGGTCTCGATGTCCTGACCTCATGATCTGCCCGCCTCGGCCTCCCAAAGAGCTGGGATTACAGGCGTGAGCCACCGTGCCCGGCCTTTGTACTGTATTAAAAAGAAAAAAAAATCTAATTCTGGAACTCAAATAAAATCCTTCTTGTCCTACCTTTGATTTTTGAATCACCTATTAAATTTTCTGTCAAATAGATAATTTCGTGCTAACATTTTCTTAGGAGTGACTCTAAAACAAAGGCAGAAGCTTTCTACAAAGATATCATTCTTTCTCCTTTATCCTCCTACAAATTTTGACCTAGAGAAGAAACAGGTAACAGAAAAGGGTGGAAGAAGAGGGAAAGGAAGGCTTTTCAATTGCTCTTGGTTAACAAAAGATGAGCCCCTTTTTGGATTGCAGGCTGGAGCCAACCATTTTCTGATTTACGGGTAGATGAACGTTATCATGAGGCCTACTCAGGAAATATTGAGATAGAAGTGATCTGAGAGGCTGCTTTATCTTGGGTGGCCTGATTAAAGTTCTGTCCATTTATTAAAAGTAGCTATAGCAAATGAAATGACTGGTAGACACCTGGCCTATCAGTCCCGGTTATCAAAACATCCTTGCTTCCAAATCTCTTAGAGTATTCCTACTCATCGTCTCAGTACTGTCAGCCCCACACCGTGACAAATGGTTCTAACATAGTATTAAATATAAATTTGTCTCCTGTCACTGCTTTTGCCCTGATCTTATCTGTTACCATTTTATTTTATTCCTTTCTTTTTCCTCACCTCAGACATTTTACAGAGAGGAAATTATTCTATATATGTATATGGATTTATATATGTTTAACTTTTTACTTTATAATTTTCATTTGCAAAACTCTACACAGATATTTCAAGACTTAGAATGAGGTTATGTCCCAATAAACCCATCACACACTGAAAATGTCATAAATTGAAAATGCATTTAATACACCTAAACTATCAAGCCCATAGCTTAGCCTAGCCTACCTTAAATGTGCTAAGAACACTTACGTTAGCCTACACTTGGGCAGAATCATCTCACACAAAGGGTATTTTATAATAAAGTATCAAATATCTCATGTAATTTATTGAATACTGTATATTTTGTCAAAATTGTGACAATTTAGTACCATTGTAAAGTCAAAAAATTAAGTCAAATCATCCTAAGTCAGGACTGCCTGTACTTAAGAGTTTTAAAGATCTTCTTAACTGGAGGGGAATGCATTATGAATGGAATGCATAGAAAAAGGAGGTGGAGGAAGATTTGGGAGTAAAATTCTTATAGAGCATGAGGGTCTTCTCTGGTTTGGACAAATGGAGTAAGAGAGAGGTCCTTTGAAAGAGATAGATGGAAAAAAACAGAACACATGAAAGCCAAGAGAAGAAAATGGCATTTCAATCATAGTTTAAGACAGCAGAATGGTGACAGAAGGACTGTGATTCTACTGAGGGAAGAAGACAGCCTGGGACTGGGGACCTCTCTAGGCATCAGAATCATGTCAACAGGAGTAGGAGAGGAACAATTGAGAGACAGAGTTAATGGGATTTCTTCTTCTTTATTTTGGATCTAGATAACTTAAAGTGGAATTTAACTGATTACTAAAGTGGGAACATCATCATAAAAATCAACAAAAACATTAATAAGCTAATTTCTAAAACTTTGTAATATCTTAATCCTAATCTAGTTCTGAGGGGGCACCACTGTCATTAGAAACTTGTTTCACCATAAATGGGAATGAGACAATGTGTCAAAACTAGTCAAGTAGTAAGATAATCAATAGGAAGATAAAGATGGATCAAAGACCTAAACAAGAAGTTAAGATAAAATATACTAGGCAACCACAGCAACTGAGACCAGGTCAGCTTCCTACCATGAGCAGTCCCCAACAGGGTGTGGGTAATGAGATCCTGAACTCAGTGAGGTGACTCTGCAACAGTCAATCCTCTCAATTCGTGGACATGGATATAACTCATGTCATGAACTGGGTCAGTGAAGCAATTATGTTTTCTGATGCCAATGCTCTCCCTGAAACTGTAGCATCAAAGAAAATTCTCTACAAGTAAGGCAGCTTGAAATACCTGAATTCGGAGAGAAAGGAATCATGAGATCTATTAGAGGTAAGTTCAACACAAGCTCTGCATAATATTGGACTCATCTTTAAGTCTGTAGATATAAGAAAACTCTCTTTTCTTTAATATCAGTGGGGGCCGGGCATGGTGGCTCATGTCTGTAACCCCAGCACTTTGGGAGGCCAAGGCGGGCTGATCACCTGAGGTCGGGAGTTTGAGACCCCAGCCTGGCCAACATGGCACCCTGTCTCTACTAACAATACAAAAATTAGCCGGGTGTGGTGGCGGGCGCCTGTAATCCCAGCTACTCAGGAGGCTGAGGCAGGAGAATCACTTGAATCCAGGAGGTGGAGGTTGCAGTGACTTGAGATCACACCACTGCACTCTAGCGTCAGCGACAAGAGCGAAACTCTGTGCAAAAGAAAACAAAACAACAACAAAAAATAGCAGTGGGATATAAGAAAACTTCATTTTTTCACAATAGCAGTGTTAAATGGTGTAACAGTTTAAAAGCAGTGTGGTATTAGACAGCAGTGTAAAACTTGAACTATGTTCAAGTTTTAGTTCTTCTGTATTCTATATGACTTAAACCCTTAGTTTTAATATTTTTATCTATAAAATTGGGATTATAACATGGGCTCTTACCCAATTGCGGGATTGAATGCCTCAGTTGTAATGTTTCAAAGTGTCTATTAATTGATATTTGTCATTTAAATTAATAAAAATTAATATAAATATTTATGATTTCTCCCAACTATGAGAAAAAACAACATTCCCGAAACAAACAGAAGAACTCGTTAGATTAGAAAGGGCAAACATTTCCCCCGAAGTTTATATTGTATAGTTGTCTCTCCTCTCCTTTCTCTACCAATATATTTTTTAAAAATTATAAACTAATACGTTTCTTAAATTTATAATATATGTGCTGTCTAAAGACATGATTCTTTAAAAATTTTTTCATTTGTTATTTTTGGCATTTTTGTTTCAAATTTATTGGCTTGCCATTACCTAGAATTTTGACTTTGGCTTCTCAGTAGCATACAATATATTTTCAGAATTTAGAAATCAGACAGAACAGGACTGCTTTTTTTCTTTCTTTCTGGTAGTTTTGCATGTGAGAAGATTATCCTGGACTTTCCTGTTTGGTCCCTAAATCTAATGACATTTGTGTGTCAGAGAGGTTTGACACAGAATGAAGAAGGAGGAGGCAATGCGACCTTGGAGGAGGAGATTGCAGTGATACAACTACAAGTCAAGAAGCTGCCTGAAGCTGGAAGAGTAAGAAATTAGGACATATTTACTAGTTTAAAACAACACAAACGCAGTCAGAAGTCTGACATAGATATTAATGGGCAAAAATCGACATCTCAGCAGTTTGCTTTTTTTTTTGGAAGTTCTGAAGGAAAATCCATTTTCTTACCTTTTCCAGCTTCTAGATGCTCCTGCATTCCTTGGTCCAAGGTTTTCTTCATCCATCTTCAGAGCCAGCAATGGTGGAGAGAGGCCTCCTCACATTTCTTCACCTCCTCTTCTGCTTCCTCTTCTAGTTTTAAAGTATTACACTGGGCTCATAAGGATAGTTTTTCTATTTTAAAGTCAGCTGACAAGCACCTTAATTCTATCTGTAACTTTAATCTTCCTTTGCCATACAACAAAATATAATAGTCATGGCTTCTGGGAATAAGGACGTGGGCATCTTTCACCATCTTTACTTCTATAATTCTACCTGTAAACTTAATTTTCTTTGTCATGTAACATATTTATGGATTCAAGGAAGAAGGAAGTGAGTATCTTTGACCATCTTTACTCCTGTATAAACATTCCAAAATTCCTCTAAATTATCTTTAGGTTCTTAATCACCGAAGCAGGTGAAAACACTTCCTTCAGGAATTCTCTCCTACTCCCTTGTTTTGATGGGTAGGTATTCATCTTGCATCCTCCTATAACAATCTTCAATGCCCTTAACCCTTGCACATATTGTACTGAATTTAAGCCGCCCCTCTATACTTTTCTATTACCTGTAAAATACGTCCTTCCAAAATTCTTAACTGTTAAACTCCTTGAAAGCTGTTCTAGGGTGCTTCCATTTGCTCATTTTCACTTCATTAATTTCACTACCTCAAATAAATATTTCTGTCTTTCTAGTTTTCCGTGACATTTAGCTATTGTGTAACTATAAATACAGACATATTAGTTTAGTATTCTTGATGTCTGAGTTCATGTATACCTATTTCTCTGGACCCTGACTTGTCTTAATTTTTAAGCTTCTCTGGGAATAGTGAAATTCTCAGTTGTTACTCCATAGTAGTTTATCATACATACTCACTACTTGTTAGCACCAAATGCAGGATGACCACAGTCATCTTCCTCCAAAATACAATGGTGAGATAGATATGGGATAAATATTCCCATCCAAAAAGGGAGAAATAAGAAAAGAAGGGAGGCTGGGCCCCAGGCAAGCCCAAAACCTGGCAGGGCAAACTATGAGACCTTAAGTCTTGTTAATAATCTTCTTTGGCCTGATGAGCTGACTTCTGGACCCACTAGGGTGACAACATCGACCCCATGACTCAGCAAGGCCCTGCCCAAATCACTGCTCCTTGGGGTTGAGATACTGCCCCAAAGGCTCTGCTGTGCATCCCCCTGCCCACAACTCCAGATGGCCCATTCCCACGACTTCTGTTGGAGGCCATCTGCCTTGCTGAAACCTAAGCAGTGGCCCAGATAGTCTCCAAATCACCTTTGGGGTTCTTCTTCCCCTTTATTGAAGGACAGCAGACATTCACAGTCTTTCTTCATTCTGTCTCACTTTGTGTTTCCATTAGTCCCAGTTGTCAGGGTATCTGCTGGTAAGAGCCCATCTCTAGTCCTTGCTTCTGTTGAGATGGGTGATTGAATCTGTGGTTCTTATCCACCCTAATCTCTTTATCAAATGGCAAGTGTGTCACACCCTTTGTGTTCTGTTTCCAATGTACTTTCATATTTCTTCTAATGTGGACAGGATGAGAATTTGCCAGATCTTTAGTTCTGATTCCTTTTGCTTAACAATTCCATTTTCAACTCATTTTTTTTCTTCTCTTCTCACATTTTACCATAAGCAGTCAGGAAGAACGAAGCTGCTCCTTCAACATTTTGTTTAGAATTTTCCTCAGCTGAACATCCAACGTCCATCCTCTCAAGGTTGACCTGTCATAAAACATGAGAACACAAGCACGATTCAGCCAAGCTCTTTGCCGCTTTGTGATCAGGATCTTCTTTTCTCCGTTGCCCAATAACATGTTCCTCATTGCTGTCTGAGACTGCATCAGAGTCACCATTCATATTCATATTTCTACCCACATTCTATAGCTCATTCTTTGTGTATTCTCTAGGAATTTTCAACTCTCCCCTTTTCTTTTTGAGCCCTCACCGGAATCACCTCTATAAGTCACTTAATGATAACAGCAGCCTTTTCTAGCATGCAGCTCAAAACCCTTCCAGCCTCTCCACTCATTACCTAGTAACAAAGCTCCTTCCACATCGTTAGGTGTTTGTTGCATTAGCACACCACTTCTCAGTACCAGTTTCTGTTTTAGTCAGTGCGGACCGCTATAACTGAGTACCATAGACTGGGTGGCTTGAACAATATTTACTTCTCACAATTCTGGAGGCTGGAACTGGGTTCCAGATTAGGCTGCCACAATGGTCAATTCTTGGTGAAGTCTCTCTTCATGGTTTACAGGTGGTCGTGTTTTTGTTGTATCCTCACATGGTCAAGAGAGAAATCATCTATCTTGTGTTTCTTCATAGAAGGGCAATAACCCCATTCATGAGGGCTCTGCACTATGATCTAATTATCTCTCAAAGGCTCCCCCTCCCACCTCCTAATGACATTACACTGGAGATTAGGATTTCAGCATATGAACTGGGGGAGACACAAACATTCAGTTCATAATACTGGAAGAGAGTCTGATTTCTATGATTTGGCTTCTTCGTTGATATATTTCAGGCTGAAAATGGAGGAAGAATGAGAGAGGGACAGAAAGATTTAGCAGGAAATGTTATGGATGATGCCTGTGAGTAGTTTATATTATTTCTTCCGACATTTCTTTAGTTAGAACTCAGTAGCATAGTCATTCCTATCTGTACCTGCATTACTAAGAGGAAGGCAAGCAGATTTGGTGGTAGCTTTTTTTTGTTTTTTTTTTGGCCACAAAAGGAAAGAGATCCGATCTGAGATTCACAGTTGGGTTCTAAATAATGCATCATATAAATGCTAACAGAGGTAGGAGTTTGCAAGAGAGTAGTTCTGAAGATCTAAGTTTTATAGATCCAGGGAGGTGACATGCCACTAAGAAAATTTCTTTCTCCATCCTCCTCTCGTACATCTTATGAGAGCCAACATAAAGACGTCAAGTAGCTGGGACAGGGGAAGAGGATGGCAAGATGAAAAACATGACTGGAAAAAGGCATCGGAAGGTTTCCTGATAACATTCTTTCTACTTTGCTATGTATTCACCTTTCTGTAGGGAAGGTGTAAGGAATCCTAAATGATAGTGGATGTCCATATAATAAACGTTAATGCCTCCTAAATGGAAAAAAGAGTCAGATATAAGATTCCGCACTGATAAGTGGTACTATGAACACTCAGAGTCATCCTGGCATTAAAAGTGTTTTGCTTCGTTAGTATTTTTAACTTTCACAGTAGCCTTATAAAGCAGTTCTAATTAGATCAGTTTTACACAAATAAAAATTGAGATACAGAGTTTAAGTGGCTCATACAATATCACAAAGCAGAATTGAGTGGAGCTAGGGCTAAGTCCCACGTTAGTTTTACTACAAAGCCTTGTACTTCTTCTTTGGTGATATTGGGAATATACATCAATATAATCAATAATATGGATGTATACTTTATTTGGAAAAGAATCAAATGTTATCGATCTTTAGAAAGCTATTTACCTTAAGAAGAACACTTTAAAATGTTAATAGGTTACATTTAGTGAGAATCAAATTACAAATGTTTATTTCACATCGATAATTTCAAGGGAAATGAAGATACAGATTTGAATACAACTGCAAAGCATGGAAAGTTTTTGTAAAATCCAATGTATTTTAACATCTTTTTCATGTAACAAAGTAAAACTTAATGCATTTAAAATTTACTAAGAGAAATGCATTGCTCTTGGAATAAATCATTTTAATCCATTTTTATATTTGTATTTGGAGAGAGTATTAAGCAATGAAATCTACCTTAGGTTTGGAGGATTGATTTCCCTAAATGAATATCTTGACTCTCTTTTACTGCACAAAGAAGGGGGATGATGGAAATTGGTATAGAGTTCCACATGAGCCACATTTGCAAAAGTAATCCTTAATAACATAGTCAGCCATGTCTATTTCCCAGAGTAGATTTCAGAATTCTTTTTTCAGTTTTTTAAAAATTACTTGTTTCTGTGTTGGACGGAAAACTATTCATGACACTCATTAAAAACAGTAAGGAAGACTTCATTTGAGAGAGGCTACCATAATAAGGTTTTGTAATAGAGGAGAGAGATGGGGCTCAATTCTGAATATAACAAGGAAATGTGAAAATCTGTAGCCAAGTAGCTGGATCAGGGTAAAGGTGGGGAGCCAGTGGGGGAAAATGCAGGAGTTTGGGTGGATTCTGGCTAAGCTGACCTACCATGATTCTTGCTGAAGGCCAGCCAGGATGATTAGACCTCACCTCTGGGATGGTGGAGGAGGAGAAACCTCATTAGATATCAACGGTGACCAGATATTGCGGATGGGGGATTATTGCTAAACTGACTTAGATTTCTTGCTAAAATTGGACAATGTACAGATAAATACGAAAGTTCAAATGTCAGGGTCTAATTGAGAGGAGATTTAGGAGGAGCCTGACTAGAGTTCAGTCAAGGAGAGAATCTTTGTCATTTGTCAACATGATGCTAACATTTCTTGCATCTGTAACAAAATGCATGGTAGTATAACCAAAGCGTTTTTCAACTGAGTTTACTGAAAAGCCAAAATTCAGAGACATAAAATTTAGAACTAGGTCTTCTGAACAAAATTAATTTTAAGGGGAAGTAGAATACTAATGAACTCTATTACCAGAAATATGTCAAAGTGTGCCTGGATAATTGAGAAAAGGTTCTAAGTAAAGCAATTAGTCCAAAACATAAGATCTCAGAGAACTGAAACTTCATTCTATTTGTTACTACTCTGAAAGATATATAATATTAAAAAAGGGAATATGACAGAAAAATTGAAAATGAAATTGAGTAAGAAACAGAAAAAGGCAACTGTTTAACTCTGAAGATCAGTGAGAGCACCTGCGAAATGGAACTATCAGGTTTAAAATATAGAGCACTCAGTTAAAACTCAAGTTCATATAAACAGCAAATTAAGGTTTTCAATGTAAGTCTGTTCTACATATTGCATGGAACATAATTATACTGTAAAAATTATTTGTCTTTTATTTTAAAATCAAATGTAACTGGTCATCCCGTCATTGCTGCTAAATCTGGCAACCCTATGAAGAACAGATCATTGACTATCTTTTATTTTGATTACTACTATTAAATTCTTATCTTCCACTTTCACATTTTAGAATGGTGGTCTGACTTAACCTTCATTTGTGATCATTTCTTTCTGATTTTACTTGGTATACTAAATCTTCTGGTAGTTGTTGCCACAGGATTAACATTTTTGTAAGCACTTAGTTAAATACCTCAGCTTGGCTGCTTCAAGAAGAGAGCACATAGTTTTACAATGTGTTATACACAGATAATTCATTCTTAACTGTGAATTAATTTATTGAAGGCAAAGGAAGTATTAAATATACTCTCATGGGTCAAGAATTGCAAATTGAGGAAGGTTTTTCCTAATCCTCATTTCTCATACTATTTTATTTCTCCTAGTCTCATTTGTCTCTTCCTGATTCTTGGATCTATTCCTCTCCATCTTTCATTTTCCTCCTAACTCCTTAAACTGAGTCAACAATTGGAAACTTCCCTTCCACCTCTAGTTCACTCCTACTTAAGGTAAATCTGCCCCAAATGTACCCATCCTGTTGAACTTTTATTACATGCTTGTCATTTATATATAGTGGCCTAAATTCAAAGCAATCAAGGTCTCTAAAAATGCATATTGCATGACTATAAGCACTTGCTGCATCTTTACTGCTTCTCAGCAGAGAAACTGCTTACAATGTGTGTTGGTTTAAAGTGCAATGGGAATACACACAGAGAAAAACACATGTGATAAACCTCTTCAAGCTAGGTCTATTTTTGAACTGTGTCCAGGCCATCTTACAACAGAATTCTGTTAGAATAAACATATCTTTCATATATGTTGTTGCTATTCCTTGTCTTTACCTCACAATTTCCTATCTCTTCTCAACCTCCATTCCTACTACACCACTCAAACAACTGCCAAGTCAACAAGAATATACTAGGTCCTTCAATCCAAAGGACACTTGTTACTTCTCGCATTTGAACTCTCTGCAGCATTTGATACTGCCACCATTCCCTCTCTCTGCAAACAATCACCTTCAAATATACCCCTGTCAGAGGCGTTTAAACCAGCGTGGCTCTATCTTGAATAGGGGCTGGGCAAAATAAGGCTGAGACCTACTAGGCTGCATTCCCAGTAGCTTAAGGCATTCTTAGTCACAGGATGAGATAGGAGGTTGGCACAAGATACAGGTCACAAAGACCCTGCTGATAAAACAGGTTGCAGTAAAGAAGCCGGACAAAATCCTATGACAACCAAGATGGTGAAAAGAGTGACCTCTGACCATCCTCACTGCTCATTATATGCTAATTATAATACATTAGCATGCCAGAAGAAACTCCCACCAGTGCCATGACAGTTTACAAATTCCATGCCAATGTCAGGAAGTTACCCTATATGATCTAAAAGGCGAGGAACTCTTAGTTCTGGGAATGGTCCACCATTGCGGAAAACTCATGTATAATCCACCCCTTATTTAACATATAATTAAAAAGTAACAAAAAGTATAAGCAGCTGAGTAGCCCATGCTGCTGCTCCATCTATTGAGTAGTCTTTCTTTTATTTCTTTACTTTCTTAATAAACTTGCTTTCACTTTACCCTATGGACTTGCCCCAAATTCTTTCTTGCACGAGATCCAAGAACCCTCTCTTGGAGCCTGGATCGGGACCCCTTTCCAGTAACAGCACTATAATACCTTTTCCTTTAATCACTGTAATGAAATAATTGCAATTACAAAAAAGTTTGAAAAATAATAGAATGAACACCTATGTGGCCACCATCTATCTTGAGAATTAAAACATTATAAATACAGTTAAAACTTCCTGTACATCTTGTTAAAAGAAAAACTTTAAAACAATTAGATTTAGCAGAGTTTAACTGAGCAAAGAATAACTCACTAATAGGCAGCCCAATGAAATGGAATAGGTTCAGAGAGATTCTAGGCTACCTCATGGCTGCAGAGGATTTATGGACAGAAAAAGGAAAGTGATACACAGAAAATGGACTTGAGGTACTGAAACAGCCTAATTGGTTACAGTGTTTGCCTGATTGGAGCACAGTTTCAACAGCTGGCCACAACTCATGATTGGTACAAGAGTAAGTTACAGTCTGTTTACACATCTGATTAAGTTACAGTTCACTATGTATGGAGAAACCTCTAGCCCAAACTTAAAATATGTAAGGCGGCACACTCCATCAAGTTAGAACTATTTTAAACCAGAAAGCAGGAAGATGGCTCACTGACTCAAGGATTTTAAAAGTATAAAGCTATCCTACTAGGAAGAGATGATTTAACACTAATCACTGATAATTCACTTAACCCAGTAGGTTTTCTAACAGGGAATCCAAATCTAAAAGGCCCTAAGCATCAGTGTTTATATCTAATTGATTATCACACAAAAGTCAGGCCTGATTTAAGAGAGATTCCTTTCAAAATAGGGCAGCACTTATTGATAGATGGCTCTTCCCGGGTAAATGAAGGAAAAAGACAATGGGTATTCAGTAGTTGATGGGGAAGCTCTCGCAGGCATAGAGTCAGGAAGATTGCCTAATAATTGGTCCGCCCAAACTTGTGAATTGTTTGCATTAAATCAGGCTTCAAATCACTTGCAAAAAAAGGAAGGGATTATTTATACTGATTACTTATTAGTGATAGTAGATCGTCTTACTCACTGGGTGGAAGCTATTCCCTTTTCAAGCGCAACTACGAATAATGTAGGTAAAGCATTGATGGAAAATATTATACCCAGGTTTGGCAGATAATGGGACTCATTTCACTGCACAAGTCATTGAGAAATTAACTCAAGCACTAGACATAACATGGGAATACCATACTCCCTGGCACCCACCTTCATCAGGAAGACTGGAGAAAATGAACCAAACTTTGAAGAGTCACTTAACCAAATTAGTCTTAAAGACTCGGCTGCCATGGACTAAATGCCTTCACATTGCCTTATTAAGAATTCAAACTGCCTCTCAGAAAGATGCTGGTTTATCTCCTTGTGAGATGCTATTTGGGTTGCCCTTTTGACACTCCACTGCTGACATTCCTATGTTTGAAACAAAAGATCAGATCTTCCACTTGCTCTTCCCTCAGAACTAAAGGTCTTTTAGCACAGGTGCCACCCCTAGAGTTCCTAGCACACCAGCATCAGCCTGGGGATTACATCCTCATCAAAAGTCGGAAGGAAAGAAAACTTGAACCGGCTTGGGAACAACCATACCTACTGTTTCTAACCACCGAGACCGCAGTCCAAACAGCAGAAAGCGGATGGACTCATCATACCCAAGTCAAGAAGGCATCGCCACATCCAGAGTCATGGGCCATTGTTCTGGGGGAGAGTCCTACCAAACTAAAACTAAGATACCTCCTTTATTCCTTCCAGCTGACAGGACATGAGCCGTATGGTAGCTCTCTTCCAAGACCCCGCAGCCTGGGGTAATAAATTCTGCCAAGCTCTCCCTCTTTCTCTCTCTGCTATTCCCTGAAGCCTGACAACCCTGCGGGTCAGCCCCCTAGGGCCATCCAGCCTCCGTCGCCCGATGCCAATTTTACCTTGTGACTCTCACAACAGGGGGAAAATTTAGCATTCCTTGGAGACCGAATGGGATGCCGTGAGCTTAAGCCCTTCCAAGAGCTTAGCAACCAGTCTGTCCTTATTCCGTCCCAATAACACAGCCCCCGATGGAACAATTACAAAAGTATTTACAACGCCTTACCTCTTACTGTTCTTATAGATGTACTTATTCCTGTAGGTAGACTCTAAAAAGTTTGAAGAGGAAAAATTATGAAAATCAAGAGGGAGAAGTTGTTGGAAACAGCGAGTTCCTCTTCTGAGGTTACACTTGTCCTCTGTTTTCAAAGCCTAACTTCCTTGCCTCCTTGCCCCTAGTTAGGATAAACAACCTTCCAGCCATTTCCAATCTGTAACCCACATCCATTAACCCACATCTGTTCCCAATCTGTAACCCACATCCATTCCCAATCTGTAACAACTCACATCTGTTCCTGATTTGGTACCCTTAGTTCCGAAGTTGCTCTGTAGCCCCCACCCCTGCTCCATTTGAAGTAGTCAATGAGGATCAGCTTAGATTGTGTCGTCGGACCCCAACCTATGGAGACTGGACACAGTAGCAGGGACTGACTATGTTAGAGACACAAATCCTTCCCTTCTTTGTTCTGTGCACTCTCGCCATTGCTCCCTCCATGAGGCCCACCCTTCTTTCTTTTTTTTTTTTTTTGAGATGGAGTCTCCCTCTGTCGCCCAGGCTGGAGTGGAGTGCAGTGGCACGATCTCAGCTCACTGCAACCTCTGCCTCCCGGATTCACGCCATTCTCCCGTCTCAGATTCTCGAGTAGCTGGGACTACAGGCGTCCGCCACCACACGCAGCTAATTTTTTGTATTTTTAGTAGAGACGGGGTTTCACCATGTTAGCCAGGATGGTCTCGATCTCCTGACCTCGTGATCCGTCCTCCTAAGCCTCCCAAAGTGCTGGGATTACAGGCATGAGCCACCGCACCTGGCCAATTCTCTTTATTGTATTTTTATTCTCTATTTTATCATATTTTATCATATCTGCTCTAATTGCTATTATTTCTTTCCTTCCGCTAGCTTTAGGTTTACCTTGCTCTTCTTTTACTCCTCATGTGTAAAGTTAGGTTTTTGATTTGAGATCTATGTAGGGAAGCCTCTCTTTAACTGCATTTTTCCTCTACTGTCACACCAAAACAATGATCATTGACACAGAAGAAGAATTATGTGACCAAATATGTGGGGAGTTTTTCCTCATGCATTAACCAGCAGACACCAGCTGAGTGCCTTCTACTTCAGTTCTGACAGTACCAGGTTGGAGGCTCAGTCACTAAGATTGTCCCCCATACCCTCAAACACTAGTTGCAAGTTTCTGAACAAATGGCTTCAAGTTGGGGTTCCCACATCTCCTTCTTATAATTGGGTTCATTTAATTTTCTGGAGTAGCTCACAGAACTCAGGGAAACACTTGCATTTACGAGTTTAGTATAAAGAATATTGCAAAGGATACAGATAAAAAGATGCATACAATTTAGTATGGGGGAAGGGGTGCAGAGCGTCCACGCTCTCCCTGGGCATGCCACCCTCCAGGAACCTCCACATGTTCAGTTATTTGGAATCCCTTCAAACTCACTCCTTTTTGGTTTTTATTAAAGCTTCATGATGTCAGCATTCCTTCCCCCAAAGTATAGGTCATGACTCTTTCTGTTGGAAGGCCTTAAGACCCACAATAAGAAAGCTGAGGAAAGGCTACAGTCCTGCCTGGGGGCAGGTGAAAAGAAGGTAAGAAAAGGTCAGCAGCCTCCCCCTGTGGCCTAACACACCCAACATTATAACAAAAGACTGTAACAAGGCCTATGGAAGTTATAAGCCAGGAGCCTTGGGTGAAAATTAACATACATATCATAACACCAAAAGATCATTCTTTTTAATGTATGTATTTACAGCTATAAATTTTCCTTTGAGTACAGCTTATACTGCATTCCCTAAGTGTTGGTGTATTATGTTTTAATTTTCATTCATCTCCTCCAAGTAGTTCTAATTTCCCATGTGAGTTATCTTTGACCCATTGGTTAAGAGTGTGTTAATTTCCACAAATTTATACATTTTCCAGTTTTCCTTGTATAATAATGGAATAATTATGACAATTTCTTGCTATACTGTAGCTAGAAAAGATACTTGTACAATTTCAGTCTTTCAAGATTTATTGAGATTTTATGGTGGCCATTCAATCACAAATAGGTTGCATGCTGGATGACATTTCATGTGCACTTGAGAAGAATGTGCATTTTACTGCTGCTGGGTGAAATGTTTATATATATATGTATATATATGTATATATGTATATATATGTGTACATATGTATATGTGTATATATGTATATATGTATGTATATATGTCTATATGTATGTATATGCATATATGTACATATATACATATGTATATGCACATGTATACATACGTGCATATGCACATGTATACATACGTGCATATGCATATGTATACATATGCATACATACATGCATATACACATGTACATACATGTATATACATACGTACATATATGTATATATGTGCATATGTATACGTATATATGTGCATGTATGTATATATGTACATATGTATATGTATATATGTATATATGTACATATGTATATATGTATATATGTACATATGTGTATGTATATATGTACATGTATGTATATATGTATGTGTGTATATGTATATGTATATATGTATATGTATATGTATATATGTATATATGTATGTGTGTATATGTATATATGTATACATATATGTATGTGTGTATATATGTATACATATATGTATGTGTGTATATATGTATACATATATGTATGTGTGTATATATGTATACATATATGTATGTGTGTATATATGTATACATATATGTATGTGTATATATGTATACATATGTGTATGTGTATATATGTATACATGTATACATATGTGTATGTGTATGTATACATGTATACATATGTGTATGTGTATATATACATGTATACATATGTGTATGTGTATATATGTATACATGTATACATATGTGTATGTGTATATATGTATACATGTATACATATGTGTATGTGTATATATGTATACATATATGTATATGTGTGTATATATGTATACATATATGTATATGTGTATATATGTATACATATATGTATATGTGTGTATATATGTATATGTGTATATATATGTATATATGTGTGTGTATATATATACACACACATACATATATGCTTGTTAGGTCTAGTCGTTGTATAGGGTGGTTCAATTCCTCTATCTCCTTATTGATCTTCTTTCTAGAAGTGTTAAGCATCATTGAACGTATTGTATTGAAGTTTTCAACTACTATTGTAGAACTGTTTATTTCTCACTTTATTCTGTCAATGTTTGCTTCATATATTTTGGGGCTCAGGGTTTTGGTGCATATATGTTTATAATTGTTATATCTTTTTGATGAATTTGTGTCTTCTCTCTTTTATCAATATATAATGTCCTTTAATTGATATATAATGGTCTTTTCATTTTTTAAGTTTTTGACTTAAATTATATTTTGTCTGATATTAAAATAACAACTTCATTTCTCTTCTGGTTACTATTGGCATGAAATACCTTTTTCATCACTTCACTTTGAATGTGTTTGTGTCTTTGAATCTAAAGTGAGTCTCATGCAGACAACATACAGTTATCATTTAAAAAAATTTCATTCTGCCAATTGCTGCCTTAGAGAACCTAATCCATTTGAATTTAATGTAATTCTGACAGGAACTAACTTTTGACATTCCAACATTTTTCTATATGCATCATACCTTTATGGTTCTCATTTCTTCCATTACTGCCTTCTTTTGTATTTAGTTGACTTTTTTTTGTAGTGAACCATTTTGTTTTCTTCTTATTCCCTTTTGTGAATATATTTTTAGATATTTTGTTAGTGACTACCATGGTGATTAACATCCTAAATTTATAACATCTGTCTTAAATTGATGCCAACTTGACTTCAATAACATTTAAAACCTCTGCTTCTAAGTACTCCATATTTCTCACACTTTGTTGTTGGCCCATATTACATGTTTATATGTGTATAATACAATAAACATATAGTTATTTTTAACACTTAGATCTTTTAAATCATGCAGGAAATTAAAAAATGAAATTATAAACACAAAATACAACAATACTAGCTCTTATATTTTCTCATGTACTTACCATTACTGAAGATCTTTATTTCTTCATATGACATTAGTTTAATGTCTAGTGTTTTTTCATTTCAACCTGAAGGAGTCCCTTTAACATATCTCAGAGGGCGAGGGCAGGACATACTGGCAATAAACTTCCTCAGCTTTTGTTTATCTGGGAAAGTCTTTTTTTTTTTTTTTTTTTTTTGAGATGGAGTCTTGCTCTGTCATCCAGGCTGGAGTGCAGTGGTGCGATCTCAGCTCACTGCAAGCTCCACCTCCCAGGTTCACGCCATTCTTCTGCCACAGCCTCCCAAGTAGCTGGGAATACCGGCGCCCACCACCATACCTAGCTAATTTTGTCTATTTTTTAGTAGAGACAGGGTTTCACCAAGTTAGCCAGGATGGTCTTGATCTCCTAACCTCATGATCCACCCACCTCGGCCTCCCAAAGTGCTGGGATTACAGGCGTGAGCCACCGCACCCAGCCTATCTGGGAAAGTCTTAATTTCTCTCTCATTTTTGAAGGACAGTTTTACCAGACATGATATTCTTGGCTGACAGATTTGGGGGTTTTGTTTCTTCTTCTTTTTCTTTCAGTACTTTAAATATGTCATCCAAATGTCTTCTGGCCTTATGGTTTCTGTTGATGAGAAATCAGCTATTAATCTTTTTGAAGGTCCATTGTATATGACAAGTTGCTTCTCCCTTGCTACTTTCAAGACTCTCTTTGTCTTTTTCTTTCGGCAGTTTGACCAGTTTGTCTTGGTGTGAGAGTTTTTTGAGATTCTTGGACTTTTAGATTCATGCCTACCATCAAATTTGGGAAGTTTTGTTTAGTATTTATTTACCTATTCTTTCTTCTACTTCCTCTCTGTCTCTGGGACTCTCAAAATGCATATTTTGGCCCACTTGATGGTGTCCCACATGTCCCTTAAGCTCTTTTTACTTTTCTTCATTATTTTTTTCTATCTGCTTCTCAGACTCAATTTAAATTGTCCTATTTTCAGATGAACTAATTCTCTTGCTTGTTGAAATCTGCTGTTAAAGCCCTCTAATAACGTTTTCATTTTAGTAATTGTATTTTCAGATGCAGTTTCTGTTTGGCTCTATTTTTTGTAATTTTTGTATCTTTATTGATATTCTAATATGGCTAACACATTATTTTTCATATTTCCTTTCATTCTTTGTCCATTACTTTTTAAAGCATATTTAAGACAGTTGTTTTAATGTCTTTGTCAAGTAGGTACAACATCTGTACTTCCTCAGTGACCATTCTTTTAATTTCTTTTGCTTATTTTTGTTTTGTGACTATCCTGAATGATTTTTACCAAGACTGTGTTCCTTATTGTTGATGATCACTGGAGTCTCTTTTCCTTACTTTGTGTTAAGCTAGTGTTTTTGAATGCCAAGCACTAAAAACAGAAATAAAAGACAAAACACAAAATCTGCAGCAACCAACACAACCAACAACAATCCATCTCCCTCAGTATTTGCAGATTGTTTCTGAGCCTGGGCACGCCGTTAACACTTAGCCAGATTTGCACTAATCCTAGAGATCAGCCCAAGGTGAAAGTTTAGGTTCTTTTCAAGGCATGTGTTTCGCCCTGAGCATGCATGCGGCTTTCTAAACTTCCCTGCATTCATTTTTTTAAACACCCTAATTTCCCAAAGAAACTGTCTTCAGTTTTTGCTACCAGGCCTTATGCTCTCTACTTCATGTTTCAACTATAATGTTGTGACCCATGCATTTGAGGGTTGTTATTTCAGCTAACAGTGTTTTTGAACAACGGCCACTGCTTTACCAACCTGAATTCAAAATTAAGTGAAACAGAGTTGAATGCTTTGCATCAGTCCTTCAGGGAATTTCTTAGACAGATTAAAACAGACAAACACAACTGTTTGTGAGGAAGGTCATCTCTGCTTCCCATGGAACCAGGGCCCAAGGGCCCAAGCTACGAATGTAGACTGCCTACCACTACCTCAAGACAAAAAAAAAAAAAAAAAAAAAACATTGCTGCATCCAGGAGGAGGTAGGGGGAAGGCAGGTAAAAATATCACAAACTTTACTGTTGTTTCAAAGTTGCCTTTTTCTTGACTCAACATTTGCTTAGTTGCTGTAAAATTCTGAATTTTTTCAGAGTCCTGAAAAAGTTGATTCTGACAGTTTCTATTTATTTTTTGATATTTCTCTAAAAGAATGAATTCATGAAGCTGCCTACTCCACCATTTTGTTAATATTGCTCTTTGTTTTTGTTTGTTTGTTTAAGTAAATGTACTCAATAATAACATATACATAAGTTCTTGTTAAGATATTAACATTTTAAAAACATAAATTCTAAGAGTTTTAAATATAAATTACTCTGCAAAGGAAAATAGCTGATAAATAACAGAAAGGAATACATATTTCAGTATGTTATGTAACCAGAAGATTGGTGTGGTTAAAGAAAAACATTTTAAAATGTATTACCTACCATTCAATAAAGAAAAAGTGCAAAGAAAATGCATAGTTGAAAAAAATCAGGCTATATTATGGTTTTATGTGTGATTAAAAGCCAAAACCACATCTAGTGCCAAACACATGTTCCTAAAATTCCTATATACTGTCTCAATGAATTAAAAAAATCTCAACGTAATCATCTCCTAATTGTGCTTTTCTGAGGGAACATTGTTAATTGTCTACCTGACAAACATTGACTTTTTCCTCCTCTCTGCCATAATCTTGATTTTATTTAGTTAACATGAGATCTTGAGCTTCACCAGCCTTGAGCTTCTCCAACTCCGGAGAGTAAATAATGCTTACCATTGTAACCCAGTGATGGTAAATTTGTATCTCTTGAGTGTGATTGCTTTGGACATACATATCACTGCCATACTGATCAAACAAATGACTGAGGGTAGAAATATTTCATTTTACCCTTCATAGCAAATATTATTACAGTCAACCCTTAAACAATATGTGTTTGAACTGTGCACTGTTCCACTTATACATGGATCTTCCACCTCTACGATTCCTGAGACAGCAAATCCAACTCCCCCTCTTTCTCCTTCTCAGACTACTCAATATGAAAACAACAATGAAGGATGAAGACATTTATGATGGTTCACTTCCACTTGATTAATAGTAAATATATTTCTCTTCCTTATGATTTAATTAAAGTTTTCTTTCCTCTAGTTTATTTTTTTGTAAGAATACAGTACATCATGCATATAAAATGTGTTAGTTGACATTATTAGTAATACAAAAATGGTTAATTGACTATTTATGTTATTGGTAAGGATTCTGGTCACCAGTAGGCTCTCAGTGGCTAAGTTTTGGGGGAGTCAAAAGTTATATGTGGATTTTTCACTGTGAAGGGATCAGTGCTCCCAACCTCTGCATTGTTCAAGGGTCAACTGTATATTATTTGTAATAGGCACATTACAAATTAATGTAATGCTTTACTTAAGTACAAACTACTATGGTCTATACGTTTTGAAAAAATGGAAAGTTTTGATTTGAAACTATTTAGATAATTTAGGTGGAATGTGTTTGGCCCTTAGATATTAATGGTTATTCTTCATTTTCTACATCCCTTTGGTCTTTCTTTTTTCTTCTTCTTTTATTTATATATACATTTTGCATTTAACGTGATGCTGGATGGCTCAACAAGTAGAATACATTCATTCTGGTCAGCTGAGCTATTTTTTCAAAAAAACCAAATCGCAAATTTCTGTTTTTTTTAATGGAACAAATGCAATTCAACATTCCAAAGTAAATTAAGTCCTCAATTTGTATTGGTGCTATTAGGTTCTTTTCTTGACTGGACTGAACTTAGTAGATTCTCTCAAATACAAAAAGGATTTTTAGATTACTTATTAAAGATATATCTATGCATAAGTGGTAAATCAGCATGCATATACCATACAGCAATATAGTATTAACAACCCATAGGCACTGATCTCAGACATCCCAAGTGCCTATGGGTTGTTAATAGTACTATTAACAGTGTCATAGTACTAGTACTAGTAATAGTACTAGTAATAGCAATAGTACTAGTACTAGCAATAGTACTATTATTATTTTAAAGGTAAATTTTATTTTAAAATAAAAATAGTAATAGTAATAGTACTATTATTAGTGTTAATAATACTAATAGTTAATACTAACAGTTAACACTAATAGTTAATACTATTGACAACCCATAGGCACTGATTTCAGACATCCCATGCATACCACTTACGCATAAGTAGTAAATCAGCATACATATACCATACAGCAATACAGTATTAACAACCCAGAGGCACTGATCTCAGACATCCCAAACAGGCTGATAATGCAAATGATTCTTTCAGAAACCATTGTATTTACCTTTTGAAGAAAATACCTAGATAGTGGAACTGAACACAAAGAATTATTAACTAGCTGAAATTACAGCCAGGGTTTGAGACAGAAAGTGTACATTCAGAATTCATTCTCTTAACCACAAAATTATGCTGCCAGAGAAAATCAGCAATGTTAAACAAGTAGAAGAATGTTACATGATAAAAATGCATTTTCAGTAGGCTGTTTACAGTAATTCCAATTCCAAGGTAAGGTTTTGCCTTTTTAAGTTGGACGGCTGTGAGTCTACCACTTGGTTATTATGTGTGGTGAGACTTCAGAATATGAAAAAATGCTTAAGCTTATGCTTTCATTTGCCACTATTAAAGAAAGAACAGTAGAGTAATTCCATAATAGTACTAGTTTACAATTACTTTTTTTGTGAATTAGTCATAGGAAACTTCAGAATTCTGTTATTTTCAGGGCTGAGGTTGAATTCATTTGCGCTTTAATATCAACTGCTGGTCTTTCTGCAGGCAGTCACTTTCAGGGTAGAATTACTGGGTTTCAGGGTAGCTTTTCACACTCTACACTATGGCCCTGGGGATGGGTTGACTACCAACAAAAGGTTGCTAAACTACTTTTTTGGGGCATGCTCAGAGTTATTGTCCCTTTAGGACTAAAGACGCACCCCCCACCCCCCCCCCCGCCCTTTGGTTGTAAATGTTGACTGACTTCATAAAAGACTCCAAACAGTTGAAACCACTCTTCCTTCTGCACTGAAGATGTTTGCATTGTTTGTTAAAATGGATTAATCAGATTTAAATTTTAAACACCATGTCCTAGAATTGTAACAAGCTAATTATTCCATTTAAAGTGCATAACAAACTAAACTTCCTGTTAAGTGGCATTTTTGATCCACCAATTATCTGGACAAATATACTGATGGTCAGTTTTCTCATATGTCCTGCTTTCAATTTACTTCATGATTCAATTAAACAGTTGTCAGTACATGACAAGAAAAATAAGCTCCCTGGTCCATAGTGGCCAAGACATATCATTAACATTGATATCTAATACACAAGTTATTGCACATTGAGATATCTTAATAGTTGGATAACATTCTTATTTTAAAACAATATGTGTGGATTGGAGATTTTGCAATCTAGGCACAAAAGATATCTTCTGATCCCTTCCGTTATTCAGAAAGTAATTAAAATCAACTAAATAGATTACAAAGACAAGAAGAGCAAAAAATTGTAATCTCCTGGTGAACATATTATGAATTGGAGCCAATTACTGGTATGCATTTCTATTACCCTTGGCCTTTGTAATCTGGAAGCTATAAACTTCAAAATGTTCAATTCAGCATATAAGTCATTATATTAGAAAATTCCATTTAAAAACCTATAGAAGTTAAAATGATTTAAATATAGACATAAAATAGTAAGCATGAAGGTGTTCAATATATTAATCCTGTAATCTAAAATATTATTTGGGCAATATTCTTAATCTCTTAAATATTGATTAAATGGATTTTACAGGAACAAGGTAATAAAATCATTTTTGAGCAGCGATTTCATAGTTGTGAATGAAAATATGATGCATTATAAAGTGCAAGTGACTCCAGCATCTTCAGAATGTGAACAGGCTCTTGTCCCCCATTGCCGAATTTTACATTCTTCAATAGATGATTCTCTCCCAAAACAAAACACTTCATTCAGCCATATTGGACCAGTACCTGCAATAATGAGGTATAACTGCATTAGTAAGTTTAGAGTTTAGTGTTTCTCTTTGAGTGGGGCAAAGCCATTAATTCCTTCACTAATTAAACAAAAAAGTGTTGATTATTTTCTGTATGCAAGTTCTGTGCTCTCTAGTAGGAATCAAAAATTAATCTCCTGCTTCAGAACACTTTATACTCTGTTAACATGTAAACTACTAAAATGCAAAGTAAGAAGAGCTCTAACAAAGTTACCTACACAGTTCTATAAAAGTAGAGATTAAGAATGTTTTTTTAAGGATTTGACAAATTAGTTTTATTATTAATCTAAAAATAAAGAAGAAAGTTTGAGCCTTAATAATCATGGGTACATGTAATAACCTGATGATCCAAGCGTATCTGTATGTCAAAGGGTCTTGGGGTATATTTGCACATAAAATAAACCGGAAAAAGGAAAACTTAATATCAGCATCTTCCTCCTTTTGTTATCTTCCCGTGTATTTCAATTTATGTGTGCCTGGTTTATCAAATACATTATCTGTTTTTAATTAAAGTAGAACTAATCTAATCAGCAAAGGGCCTACACACCATCCTGTAAGGAAATCATGGATTAAGAATGCTACTGATTGCAAACACAAACAAACAGCAAGAAAATGACAAAGCAAAGGTTTTCCTGAGCTGATCAATTGTAAGAGTGTTAACAGTAAGTTGGAGAGCCCAAGTATTTTTTGAGGTGTTTATAACAGTATTGAGGCTTTTTTACTTGAAATTTTAAGGCAGAAGAAGGAAAAGAAAAAAGGAATATGATCTCAAAATCAGAAACCTTGCCAGGGACACTTTTTAGTTCCCAAATTATCTTACTAGGCATGGCATGTTTCCTATTGTGTTTGTGATTGTATGTGTGAGCATGTTTGTATGTGTATACGTATTTGTATATCTGTGTTTCCTTATAAGTATATAAAGTCTATAAAAACTTTTTGAAAGCCTCAAAGGGCTACTTAAAAATACAGGCAAATAAAAACAATTGCACAAATAGTAAGACTATTCCCATGTTAATACAGGAGGAAGCCGAAGTACGAGACATTTATAAATTATATCTATTATATTTATTGTCATTTATAAATTGTATAAACAAACAGAAATTAAACTTTTGGTGAAAGCCATGGCTCTGTCATAATTTGGAGAGTGCGAGAATGGCTCCATGAATTGTGAACCCGGGCTACTGTGATGCTTTCGAATTGTATTTTGTAGGTCTACTCAGTGAATTTAGATTTCAGCAGTGCAGAATTTGTACAATCCAGGAAAAGGAAACTGAGAGTGGGAATTCTCCCAATGTCTACAGCACCAGCAAGGCCATCCCAACATGAATAGCAAAGGAAAGAAATTATTTAGTTGACTAATGTGCTGACATGTAAGCACATGTTTTTAGAAATTGCAGTAAGGGAATTCACGAATGTTAGAATACCAAGGTTGTGGTCCTGATAATGAAAATTTAAGTCCAGTCTTTTAAGAATTTCTTATGTGGCAGGAAACACTTATACATGTGATGTATTATTCCATGCAATCCTCAAATAACTTTCAAAAACTGAATGCCATTATTGTGTCATTTTACTGTTGAGGAAACTGAAAATCAGCAAGGATAAGGAACTGTACGTGCTCAAAGTCGCACAGGATTCTCACCCTGTATCCACCCTGAGCCACTGCCTTAAATCAATGACTTACTGCAACCTCCTTCATTATTAGACTTACTTATTTAGCAAATCTCCTTTGGTGCCTACACGAGTGAACAAGACCAAACTCCATACTCTTGTGGACTGACTTCCTGGGAGGGCTTATGTTCTAGGTAGATGAAGCAACTGAGATCACATATACAATCATGCCAGAGCAAATACTGGCATCTAGAGCCTCTGATTCTTATTCTGGTTATTTTTCCTCTGAGGACACATGGATGTGACAAATGTATTGTGGAATTTGGTATCTCTGTCTTTTGCTATGTGGAACAGTTTCAGACACAGTGAAAATTTTTTAAGTGCTTGTGTATAAGGTAATATGCTAGGTCTTTTCACATACATTTCTAAATTTACTTTTTATAATAACCTTGTTAAATAATGATAATTATCTCCATTTCATAGATACATAAACTGAGACTGAGAAAGGGTGTATGACTTTCTCAAATTTACAAAGAATAGATCCAGGCAACAGAACATGATGACACTTAAAGCTTAGTGATATTCATGGGTTACATAGATGTCTAGATAGAATTATAGAAGTAATTTCCAAAGATTTGTTGTTTTATTTTTATATTAATATATTCAAGACTATTGAGCCCAGGGGAAAAATTTATTTAATACACATTTTCCGTCTCATTCCAAATTGTTTTCTGCATTAAAAAGTTAATGCAGATAGTATAAAATTCATAAAATTTTATCCTTGTGTAAACCAATGAGATAAAAAACAAATTTGTTTTTATTTCTTTAGATAATAACTGTTATTCAAGGATCTTCGTTGTTGGGGCTGTCACTGTTATTATTTTTTTTGTGCCTCTGAACTATTCTTTCTATTCGGTGGAAAGCTATACAAAAATTACGTGTGTTTCTTAGATATGTTTTTAATCTCTAATCCTCTTCCTCTCTTTCTCTCTCTCTCATCTTTCCACCTATATACCTAGCCATATATATATCTATGATTTCCTTTATAATTTGAGGGTTGTAGGGATTGATATTGATTATATATTTTTTTTAAGTTTTTTTTTTTTTTTTTTTTTGAGACAGAGACTCACTCCCTCTATCGCCCAGGCTGGAGTGCAATGGCGTGATCTCGGCTCACTGCACTTCCGCTTCCTGGGTTCAAATGATTCTCCTGCCTCAGCCTCCTGAGTAGGTGGGATTACAGGTGTGCACCACCACGCCCAGTTAATTTTTGTATTTTTAGTAGAGACGGGGTTTCACCATGTTGGCCAGAATGGTCTCGATCTCTTCACCTTGTGATCCACCCACCTCAGCCTCCCAAAGTGCTGCGATTACAGGGGTGAGCCACTGTGCCTGACCTCCTCTTCACCTCTTTTTAAAAAATGAAAGATACTGATATTTCTTTGGGGGATTTGGGTATCTTTAATCTTACCAGCATTTCCATGAAAAATAAAAGGTAATCAGTTTCATACATCATCCAGATATATTATAAAATGATGAGATTTGAGATCAGCTGCTGAATAGATAAATGGGAGAGCAAATATCATTAATAGTTAAAAGTGCCTGAATGTGTATTTTCATTATTTCTAGTCATGACTGAGTGACATAAATTTGTATGACTTTTAAGCCTAGTTGGGAAGTGTTTTGTGAACAGTGTCTCCATTGAGAAAAACAATGTAAATTAAAGTTGAAAACACCTTGGGAATCAAAGTAGAGAAGAATGGGTCAATATAGCCTATAGTTTGGATTGTAGTTTTGTGCTTATAGAGAAACCACTCATTTTTCCTCAATTTTATGATATGCAGAATAAAGGAGTAAGGCTAACATAGCTTTAAGACTTTGTCTACCTTTAATATTTCATGATACTAAGATTCTGAAGAAGCAAGCTCTTTAGAAATGAAGATCTTAAGTATAAAGGACTTGGAAGGATGTTCCATCTGGTGGAGAAAGCATGGTATGAGAGAAAGGTTAAGGCATGAATCTTGACCCTTCTTCCCACTCCCACCCACCCCCAACCACCCCCAACCACCATAATGACTACGTAAATTTGTACAACTTTGATGACCTCTGCTAGCCCTACTTATTTTCTCTATGAAAAAAATATGCTATTTTTCTGTGATTACCCAGCTGTATGGACCAGCCCTATACTACTTTCCATAATATTTAACATTCAAATGTTTACATTTTAAAACATTCAACATGCAAGGAGCAGTATGTAAAAATTTGACTTGTGACCCTTTGATATATTTATTTATCTTTGAGATTATATTTACTCCCATTCATTAAGGGATAGTTCAGAGGTATAGAGGTGCATTTTTTGATTGCCTTCTGTTTACCCTTACATTTTTTTTTTGAAAATTTCACATAGAAAATTGATTATGGTATGTAAAAGTGGTAATAAAAAAGCAAAGAAAAGACAGCTAAGAATAACTTTTAAATGGCATTTATGTTTATATATTACTTTTGTTTCTCTTTTCAGGTTTGGAGTTTCAGCACTATAAACTCAGGAGAAGAAGCAATAGTTACTCCAGATCTTACTTCCCTCATCAGCATCCATACAGGCTCAGATATACCTGGAACAAATTCTTGGAGGTACCACTGTTGTATGATAAAACTCATCCAAGTTTGCTGCAGGGAGACCACAGGCACAATAGCTGGGAAAGCCTGGATACGGGGCAAAAAGTGACTCACTCTCCTTTCCCTGCCCTGTGCATTGATAAACAGTAGATGCCCCTCAGTGCTTCCTTAATTAAACTTGTTTTGTCTAGTCAGAAAAAAAGGTGCATCCAAATGAGAGAACCTATTTAAAGGAGCATGCTTGAAACTTTATTCCTATAAGTCATTTTACCTGCAGCTGCAAAACTAATTGTTCTTAAAACTAAGGATTCTATCTGCTAAGCCAGGTTTGCTATTTAAAACCAGAAAAAAATATGTGGAGACTGTCCAAAAATTATATTCTTTCTATAATGGTGCATTATAAAAAGAGGGTTCATTTAAATTGTTTTCTGGCTGGGCACAGTGGCTCATGCCTGTAATCCCAGCACTTTGGGAGGCTGAGGTGGGTGGATCTCGTGCGGTCAGGAGTTCGAGACCAGCCTGACCACCATGGAGAAACCCCGTCTCTACTAAATATACAAAAAATTAGTTGGGTGTGGTGGTGCATGCCTGTAATCCCAGCTACTTGGGAGGCTGAGGTAGGAGAATCGCTTGAACCTGGGAGGCAGAGGTTGCGGTGAGCCGAGATTGTGCCACTGCACTCCAGCCTGGGCAACAAGAGCGAAACTCCATCTCGAAAAAAAAATTGTTTTCTTTTTGTTTCAATTTTGGTAATGATGTACAATATGATATGAACCTGATTCTTCTCACTTTCCTAAGAGAAGGATAAATAATTAAAACAATGCATGTTTCTCTTTTAGTTCTTTACTCATCCACTCATTTTTCTAAGTTTCTTTTCTTGTCTCTACTCTGTATTTAAAATTGCTTTTTCTTTTCCTCTTGAGTGAAACTGTGAATTTAAGGTGGAGGAGTGAAAAAATCAGGAATGTTTTAAATAGCTTTCCATAAAAACCTCGTTTGCCATGTCTAATCCCCAATCAGTGAATAATGTAAGCCTGTCTCTTAAAATACAATATCCAGTGAAGTAGATCATAAAACTTACTTTTCAAATCATTTTCTTCAGAACAAATAATGTTGGTTCTATTTTTTTCTCTCAGCTCATTTTGCTTTATTATTTTAAAATTCTCATAATTATTCTTTAGTTGTTTGGTACTGAACTCTACGCAGGGAGTGGAAACAACAGCTAAGTCAAACCAGGTGCAGTGGTTCACACTTGTCATTCCAGTACTTTGGGAGGCTGAGGCAGGAGGATTGCTTGAGGCTAGGAGTTTTAGATGAGCCTGAGCAACTTAGCAAGAACCTGTCTCTATAAGAAATTAAGATTTAAAAAAAAATTAGCCAGGTATGTGGTGCAGGCCTGTGGTCCCGAGAAACTCTGCAGGCTAAGGTGGGAGGATCGCTTGAGAGCAGGAGTTTGAGGCTGCATTAACCTGTGATTGTACCATTGTATTCCAGCCTAGGTGACAGAGTAAGACCCTGTCTATAAAATAAAAAATCTAAGTCATATTAGTGGGATATCTACTTTGAATTAGCCTTGGAATATCACTGATGTCAATATACAATGTAATAGCGATCTCACTCTTTCAAAGAGAATAGCAAATAAATGTGTGATAACACAGTTTGTGTTGCTGCTAGCAGTGATCTCCTTCAGTAGTGAGCAATACAACATTGTGAGTCAGATTTTGTACTGGGTGCTTTCCATATGCTAGTTAACTCAAGCTTCAAAACAAATCTGCCAGGTCAGTATTATTCTCATTTTATTGGAAAGGAAATTGAAATTCTGAAACACAATAACCACAGCTAAAATTTAAACTTGCAATTTTTTAAGTTAGAAAACTCCTAATCTTTCCAGTTTGCTTCACTAGATGCTGAAAAAATGTAAAAGGAAACCAAAATCCTGACCCACTTTATTGTTTGATGATAATAAAACTCTGGGACAATGTATAGAATCACCAACTACCATAAACAAACAGCCTCCTGAAAATTTAGACAAATTATGTCAAGAAAACTTGAGAGACTTATCTCCACATAGCCAAGTAAGTAACTTCACATGAGACTAAACTCTGTCATTCTATTCCTTATTTAAGTTTAAAAAAAACCATTTTCTTCTTAGTATCTCAGTATACTTATTATCTTCCTTTCTTACCAGTTCTTTAGACCAGAAATCCCTACTTTATAGAGATATAAGCAGGAATGAATAAAAGTTTTGAGGAAAATACTATTTTACTCATGAGACTAAGCCTTAAAGTTAATACAATTTTAGGACAATAGTCTTCAGCTATGTTTTTCTCACCTATGTTTGTAACTCCAGTGGAAAAATATCTTTGAAGTCCATGGCAAAGCTTCATGCTCAGAGAAGAAATAAAGCTAGAGATGACGTCTTGTTCACTTTCATACTACAGGCTGTATGTTGCCAGCACTTACTAGCTTTCCTTGAATTAAAGTACATATACTACTACTGTTGCTCTCCATTTGATTTTCTCTTTGTAATAGATGAAAAAGCCTCACCTCAGCCACTGTACTACTGGGCTAGTTTCTTAAAGCAGGGGTCCCCAGCCCACAGACCATGGACCAATAGTGTCCATGGCCTGTTAGAAACAAAGCTGCACAGCAGGAGGTGAGCAGCAGGTGAGTGAGCAAAGCTTCATCTGTATTTACTGCCGCTCCCTATCACTCACATTACCGCCTGAGTGCCACCTCCTGTCAGATCAGTGGCAGCATTAGATACTCATAGGAACACAAACCGTATTGTGAATTACACATGTGAGGGATCTAGGTTGCACGCTTCTTATGAGAATCTAATGTCTGATGATCTGAGGTGGGGCTGCAGCCGTGATGCTAGAGCTGGGGAGCGGCTGCAAATAAAGATTAACATTAGCAGAGAGGTGTGACGGCACAGAGACAATAGTAAATCAATTGCTTGTAGACTCATATCAAAAACCCTGTCAGTGAGTGGAAAGTGACAAGCTGCATCTGATGGCAGGCTTTAGAGTCGAAAGTGAGTTGATGTACTTCAGTTGTACAGCTGCTTTTGGTGCCTTTAAAGGTATGTTTGAGACAACTTCAAATTTCCATACATTCTGGATTAAACTTTCGAAGCAGAATATCCTGAAATTGCCACAAAAGCACTGAAAAGCCTGCTTCCATTTCCAACATGCTATCTTAGTGAAGCAGGGTTTTCTACAGTGATAGCAACCAAAGTGAGATTATGGAGTAGACTGTACATAAGCAACACACTTCAGGTGTCACTGTCTCCCATCAGCCCCAGATGGGACCGTCTAGTTGCAGGAAACCAAGCTGAGAGCTCCCACTGATTCCACATAGTGAGTGGAATAATCTACATCATAATAAGTTGTATAATCATTTCATTATATATTACAGTATAATAATAATAGAAATAATGTGCACAATAAATGTCATGTGCTTGAACCATCCCCAAACCTTCTCCCATCCCTGGTCTGTGGAAAAATTGTCTTCCACAAAACTGGTCCCTGGTGCCAAAAAGGTTGGGAACCACTGTCTTAAAGAAACAATGCTAAATACAGACTTGTCAGATCTCTGCATAATATAAGCATCAAAATAATTCATCCAGACTAGTGGTATTTTAGGATACTTTTCTTTTTTTTATACTGAGCTTGTCTGCATTGATTATATTATCTAAATAACTGGCAAATTTTATACTTCATTTTGTCAACAAAAGCACATCTTGAGAATCCAAAACATCTTTTATTTCTAAAGCTGAAGAATCATCAGTCATTTACCAGGTGACTAAGAGCATGGATAAGACTCGTTATGTCCTCTATTAGAACTGTGGGTGTCCCCTTCATAGATGGTAACAGTCACTTGAAATGTTTTATACAATTATGTATTTTAAATAAATGGTCTTTCATTCTGTGGATGTTAGTTATCATAGAAATGGATTCTGTTCCCACAAAACAATTTGGAAACGTGGGCTGGGTGGCGTGGCTCACACCTGTAATCCCAGCACTTTGGGAAGCCAAAAATAACTACCAAATATACAAAAACTAGCCAGGTGTGATGGTGCATGCTGGTAGTCGCAGCTTCTCAGGAGGCTGAGGAGGGAGAATCACTTGAACCCAGGAGGCAGAGGTTGCAGTAAGCCGAGATTACACCCCGCACTCCAGCCTGGGTGACAGAGGGAGATCTGTCTCCAAAACCAAAAAAACAAAAACAAAAACAAAACAGAAAACCAATGTGGAAACTCAGATTGGGAGCTCAGTCTTGTTAAATAACTGATGGCATCATTCAATTCTCTAGGGATGAAGAGTTGAGGATTTTTTCTTTTTCCTCTTCTCCAGAAAAACAAAAAAGAAAAACAAAGAAAACAAAAGCAAAAATCTAGCTGTTGACCTTGAGAATATCTTACTATTTTACTTTTGGAGATAAATTTTATAGGTGCAAGAATGATTTCAAACCCACACTTTTCAACCTGGGAAAAATGTTCTAAATATGGGACAGGGATGGAAAATTTGGAAACTCCACAGATCTCTCTGAAGCTGTTTATTTCCTTTGTTTCTTCTATGTAAACCTTTAGGGTGCAAGTTAAAAACTACGGCCAGGGGCTGAAACTGGCTACAGAAGTTCTGCACATTACCAGTCTATTTTCTGACATCTCCTCTCTTCATGAAATTAAATTATCCTTCTGGGACCTAAAGACTCTAGAACCTGAGACTTCTGCTTAAATCCATCTCTTAAACCTAATATGATAATTATTATCATTATTTTTTTAGACGGAATCTCACTCTGTCACCCAGGGTGGAGTGCAGCTCGGCTCACTGCAACCTCCACCTCCTGGGTCCAAGTAATTGTCCTGCCTCAGCCTCCAAAGTAGCTGGGATTACCGGCGTGCACCACCATGCCTGGCTAATTTTTGTATTTTTAGTAGAGATGGGGTTTCACCATGTTGGCCAGGCTGATCTCGAACTCCTGACCTCAAGTGATCCACCCACCTTCAGCATCCCAAAGTGCTGGGATTACAGGTGTGAGCCACCATGCCCAGCCTAATATGAAAATTATTTTAGGTAAAATAGTAAAGGATGTGATTGTGACCTATTATTAACGCTATGCAGGTATTTAACACAATGCGTGGCATATAGTCATTACTCAATAAATCATAGCATATTAGCACTTGGTAATATCTTCTAGGCATTTGAGAAGTTCATCTTACCTTTTTCTACTTTTCTGTAAAAATTTGTTTTTCAGAGACAGGTCTTGCTCTGTCACCCAGGCTGGAGTGCAGCAGCGTGACCATAGCTCATGTAACCTGGAACTCCTGAGCCCAAGCGACCCTCCCACCTCAGCCTCTGTAGTAGCTAGGACTGCAGGTGCATGCTATCACGCCTGGCTTTTTTTTTTTTTTTTTTTTTAATTGGTAGAGATAGGATCTTACTATGTTGTCCACGCTGGTCTTGAACTCATTTATTCCAGTGATCTTCCCACTTCAGCCTCCCAAAGTGCTGGGACTACAAGCGTGAGCCACTGTACCAAGCCTAGACTATGTTCCTGTCACTACTTTATTCTCTGTCTTTAGAGAATGCCTACATTTCATTTTTTTAAAAACAAAATTTTCTGGCCAAGCGCGGTGGCTCTCGCCTGTAATCCCAGCACTTTAGGTTGGCGAGGCGGGCAGATCACGAGGTCAGGAGATCGAGACCATCCTGGCTAACACGGTGAAACCCCATCTCTACTAAAAATACAAAAAATGAGCCGGGTGTGGTGGCGCGCGGCTGTAGTCCCAGCTACTAGGCAGGCTAAGGGAGGAGAATCGCTTGAATCCGGGAGGCAGAGGTTGCAGTGAGCCGAGATCGCGCCACTGCACTCCAGTCTGGGCGACAGAATGAGACTCTGTCTGAAACAACAACAACAAACCTCACAAGATTTTCTTTAAATTACCTTGTCCAAAGTGAGCTGCCTTGTGCACGGCTTGAACACCTGGGTATCCCAAGCTCCTACAGACGACCTGTCCAACGCGCACTTCCCAGCGATCGTCACAAATTGTACCCCACTGGCCGCTGTGGAGTATCTCCACCCTCCCCTCGTGAGGGCCGCTCCCACCGACCAGTCGAACTTTCGTAAATGGAGCTGTAAAGTTAAAAAAAAAAAAAAAAAAAAAAAAAGGCAAGCAAGGACTAATTATGTACATACTGCTTTACAGCACTTTTTTTTTAAACACAAAAAAATGTTTAGCACATTTTCCAAATAACTTCAACTATTGGAATAAATATTAAACTTTCTAGCACCACCTATTGGTAAAGAGTTTAACTGCAAATATTGCAGCTTTAACAGCTGTTAAGAGCAAAATCCAATCTGTCTTACATGTAAGTTATATATACGAGGACACGTCACAGATTATATTCCAACGAGTTTGAATTTTGACAGATACAAGTTTATTGTCACTTAGATTTTTTCATACCATTGAAAAATTATAACTAAATGGTTCATTATTTTCTTGACATACAAACATACAAACTTATCAACATACAATGCAGAGATTTTCAATACTATAGGAGGGCGAGGAGCAGATATTTTAGAATATCATAAACACAAAAATAGGTGATCAAACTTCATATCTTTTCCCAAGGGAAACAAGGGAACTATAGTGACAACCTTCATTTAGAAATAGCAAAGACTTTCCTTGTTGTGAGGTTCCTGGATTCTGTAACAAAGATTTTTGTGTTTTTCCTCTTTAGAAAAAAATATTAACGAGATAAAAAATCAGACAATTTTGTTTATTTTTAGAAGTGATTCAAATAGTAAACTACAAAGAAATAAACTTTGTTTATAATTATAAAAGTAATTTTGTTCTGTAATGTCTAATCAAAATGACCATATGTACAATAAACTTTTGTAAAATCTTGATCATGCTACAGAAAGATTTACATAAATATGAAATGGCTCTTTTCTATTTTTAAAAACCAATATATATGCACTTTGACCTAGTGACAGATTAAATAAAATAGTGCAACAAATATTATAAGAGCAATTCACTTGGCGTATGAAAAATCTCTCAACAGCCTGTATTATTCTGCTAAGTATTTGTTTAGAAAATTATTTGGCTAAAGAACAGAATGAAAGGCAGAGATGAAAAATTATTTTTAAAAATTTAGTTAATATTAAATAAAAATAATATTTTCTAATAATCATAAAAACTAATAAATGTAATTCTACGTAAACAAAAGATAGCTTTTCAAATATAAGTTTGAGGAATGTTATATTATAAAAAAGATGTAATTTTCATAACAAAAATATCTCTCTAATGTGAAAATGGAGTTTTAAGGAATGGGTTTTTGGAGCTCAATTAATTGAAGAAATATTCAGTAACTTCTTTTTCTCCAGTTTGAATTCATTTTGTTAGAACGGTAATCTAATAACATTTAAAGTTACTAGATTACTGTTTCAACAAATGTTTTTAACTTATGCTTATTACTGTTTTAACAGTAATTTAATAACATTTAAAGTTATTAGATTACTGACAATTTCCTGTAATGAAATTGAGTGACCTGAGCTATGCAGAAACATAAAAGGTGGCATGTTACTATATATATAATTATAATTATTCTCTTGATTCTTCCAAAATATAATTCAGTGCTAAATACTGATTTAGTGTAAGCATGCCTGAGTGGATAAGTCCTTCTTCACTTAATAAGCATAAGTTAAAAACACTTTAAAACATGAAAATAATTTGTTATTATAGTATTTCAACTTTCATTTACTAGTAAAATTCCTGAGTGGCCCAATCATTTCCTGTAATTGCCTAAAGAAAACGAGAAAGAAAAATCCAAGAATGGATTGTGAGAAGCCTTTACATATTAGAGACATGTTTTATTAACTAGTGTGATATCCAAATGTTTATTTTTATACAAGTCAAATATATCCAAACATAATATATTTATCATGCATGCATGCTATGAAAAATCAGGCATACTCAAACATTTGATTATATGAGCATCGTTGTCCTGTTGTCCAAACAAGTGAATGTAAGCATTCTCACTGCCCATTGTTTACCTCTTACTCCTTCCAAAATGTCATAAATGAGCCTTGCTTGTCCTGGAGCAGTGGTTCTCAAAGAATAATATGCAGCAGAACAAGCTCCCAACAGCTAATTCTGTTGGTCCAGGGACCACACTTTGAGAACCACTAACCTAGATGATTGCAGTATATATTTAGAAGAGGAGACATATTATATCAGAAACAGATAGTGCTGCTGATACAATCCTTTCATCTCATTTATTGCAAAGGGAATGGCTGACTGTAAATTTCTGCCAAATTCCGTATGCTCAAGGGATCCTGAGGGGGAGTAGGTACCTCTATTCAAATTCTTTTTTTTTTTTTTTTTTTTTGAGACGGAGTCTTGCTGTCTCCCAGGCTGGAGTGTAGTGGCGCGATCTCGGCTCACTGCAAGCTCCACCTCCCGGGTTCAAGCCATCCTCCTGCCTCAGCCTCCGGAGTAGCTACGACTACAGGTGCCTGCCACCACGCCCAGCTAATTTTTTGTATTTTTTAGTACAGACGGGGTTTCACCGTGTTAGCCAGGATGGTCTGGATTTCCTGACCTCGTGATCCGCCCGACTCGGCCTGCCAAAGTGCTGGGATTACAGGCATAAGCCACGGCACCCGGCCCTCTATTCAAATTCTTTAGGGCCAAATATGCTTGGGTATGCTGATCCATATCTGTCACCTGAAATATTTTTCAGTTATAAATAAACTATTGACAGGTGACCACACATTGCTGATCCTTGACCATCTCTGAAGTAATATAGAGGAAAGGCGTCTCAATAGGTCAGTAGACTCATTTGAGAGTTGGCTTCACCTACTATTCAACTGCTCTGTTTTGGTGATGTAGAAAAGTTCATTTTGTCATCAACCTTGATCATAGGATTTTCTCTGTAAGACTGAAGGATCAAAACTTCTCTGAAAGTAGCTAATTCACTGTCACAAAGATGTAAAGAATGTCTGTCGTTTCTTTGGCAACAAGCTAATATATTTAGTCAGATAGGGCTTTTTTTTTTTCCATTTGGGTATTTTTATCTTGTATATAAAGATTTCAGAAGACATGTATATGTGTGTGTGTGTGTGTGTGTCTGGATAGCTGTTTCCTCTTTATTTGTGTAGACATTTTCTACATTCAAATCAAATAAACACAGATAAGCATAGACTATGTGCCTAAACGATTTCGTGTATTATTATTTTTTAATTGGTGAAAAAACAGAAACAGAAACTAAAGTAATTTAAACCAAAACCAAAATAATAATGTATTTTAAGGACACTGGATGTTTCATAGAACCCAAGGATAAGATTATAGTTAGGTATCTGCAATAGCTGACCCAAGACCCGAATCTGCTTAGGAGTCTCCAACTTGTACTCAAGCTTCTTTCTGTAGGTTGCTTTATTATTCTTTTTTTGTTGCAAGCTAGATATCTTTGCTCTCCTGTTCACTTGATAGAACATGTCTGTTAACAGCTCCTAAGTTTATATTTTACAGTTTCTTTCTTGATGACAGTTACTGTCTCTTTCTCAGTGACAGACTGACAGTTCTGACACTCACCTAACTTGATATTTTACAGCCTATTTCTTAGTGATAGTTTCTAAAATATCCAGGGAAGTTCTTCTATGGCCTAGTTTGGGCCAAATGCCCACCTGTGGACTGGACAAACAGGCCGAGTCACTTGCATGAACATGGCATTCCCACAGTGAGAATGGGGAGGCATTTCCTTGTTGAAAGAGTTTTGAGCAGACAAAAAATCTTAAGTCCATTCCATAAAAGATATTTTAATAATCTTGGTGCATTTATGCAAATATTTGCTGTTTCTTTACAGAAAAAGTTTGGGAATCCCTGGTAGAATTACAAACATAGTAGACGAGAATGATAGAGGATTTCCTGGGAATACTCTTGTCAAGTGACTTGTGGAATAAATAAGGTCATGCTTAATCTCTGCTCACCTTTCCAACCTAACCCTTGAGAAATTCTCCCCACCTGCACTGCTTTGTCTTTTTACTTTATATATAACTACTCACATTTTCCAAATAAGTCTCATTCTCCTTTATTTCTGGGGCTTTGGTTCCTGTCTGGAATGTTCCTTCTTCCCTTCCCACTTCCCCTCTCATTTCTACACTCTCAATCTCCAAATTTCGATTGGTTACTCAATAGCACTATTACAGATGCTATACCAAACTGCAGTAAACTTGTTTGTTTTCCCCAGTAGACTGAAAGAAACCCGTTATAGTCATCTTTTCAGCATCTGACAAGATGCAAGTTGTCACTCAGTAGTCACTTGAGGAAGAGTTATGGCATGAATGAGTAAATAAATGAATGGTAAGCTTCTCTTGATACATGAACTGCATTACCCAGTGAGATTAAATTGGCAAATGCTTAAAATATCAAATCATAGAAGAAACTGAATTTAATATTTCATAAGTCTTCAGAGGGAATAGAATATAGTTTCTATGAGTAGAAACAGAAAAATCATGAAGGAAAGATTGATTTAACTGGCATAAACATAAGTGTTTTTATGGAAAAAAACCCATATGGCTGGCTACTGAGAGCCTCTCCAAATACGAGCTTTTGGTGGGAGGCTCTGATCAGAGAAGCCTGAGACATTAGAAAATCTGATCTTGTCAGCTCAGTGAGCAGATCTATCTCTTAGAGGCAGACTAATGTTAAACAGAATCTTGGGACTAAATGTCAATTCAATTTACAATGAGAAATGTAATTGCCTTAAAAACTGGAATATTTGAATCTGCTTGACAAGGCCACTTTCTCCCCTTGGGAAATCTGCATGGGAAGGCAAATCACAGTGAGTGAACTCTTAGTTTAATTAATTTATTAATTTACAAAGAGACTTAGCAGTGAGATTTTGCTTCTGGGATGGCCAATGATCTTTCGTTAACACATTTTTCTTTATATATGTTAATACATTCAGTCAGGTAAAATGATTTGACATATCTCTGCTGATTCATTGAATGTTCATTCTATAGTTTAACTTTTTAAAGGCAATCTCACTATTCTTATGTCCCATTTCTTTACATCTCTATGACAATGAGTTAGCTAGTTTCAGAGAAGTTTCAATCCTTTCTTTAGGAAAGAACTGGGACATAAGAATAGTACATACATATGTAGTAAATGCACAAAAACATGAACGGAAGGAAACAAACTCCAGGATAAAGGTTTACCCTGGAAAGGAAGACAGGTAGACATACTGGTACTTCAACTCTGCTCATAACATTGTATTTCTTTTAAAAATTTTTAAAAGTTTTTCTTTAGAGATAAGGTGTCCCTGTGTCTCCCAGATTGAAGTGCTGTGGTGCAGTCATAGCTCACTGCAGCCTCAAACTCCTGGGCTCAAGTGATCCTCCTGCCTTGGCCTCCCAAGGTGATGTGATTACAGGTATGAGCCACTGCACCCAGCCAAAATTATATCTCTTAAAAAACAAATACTTGTAATCAAGATGGTAAATGTGAACATTTCAAAGGTCCAAGTGGTACACATGACTGTGTATTAGCTATTTATTATAAATATTATTTCTTTTCTTTATTTTTGAAATATATTTTATTTAAAGAAGGAAACAACACATTCACTGCAATGTTCACAGAGCCATACCTGAACCCTGCACAAATTATTTAAAGTGTTCCATATATGAGTCTACCCTTAAAAGTTAGAGAAAAGATACTACGAATCTATTCATCGCTGTTAGAAAGACAACATTCAAACTTGAAAAGTCAGGGAACATGTAAGGTCTTCTTTGCATGTGTCAATTACCACTACTCAGTGGAAAGAAATAATCGAACATAGAAATGACTTTTGAGGAGCATAACAGTTATTATCCTATTGTTTACTCATAGTCATGATTTCCTTTTTGTATCATTTATTGGAATTAGGATTTAGGGTTAAATTTATTACAATGGTAGTTATGATATTTGAGATGCAAACATAATACAGAAATTAAAAAAAAATCTGGTTGCAGTTTGACCTGAAAGTTCTCACAACATGGCAAAATTCCTTTAAGAAGATAACTGATTCTTTATTTAAGATAATTACCTTAATGAGATACTTAGCAATGAAATGTGCAACCCAAATATCAGATACCTGAAGAAACTGAGTTAAATTTCTCTAGAAAATTTCTCTAGAAAAATAACATAACATATTGTGTTACTCCTAAAGCCAGGGAGACAAGTATTTGGGACAGAGTCAAGAGGAGATATTTTTGTATTTTTTGAAGAGACGGGATTTCACCACGTAGCCTAGGCTGGTCTCCAACTCCTGAGCTCAAGCGATTTGCTTGCTTTGGCCTCCCAAAGTACTGGGATTACAGACATGAGCCACTGCACCCGGCCATAGGTATAATTTTGCACAGTTTACTTAATGGTTCTAAATCCTCATGGGGAGAACACCAGAGTGATAGATTCCTTGTGGGGATTAAGTAAAGGAGGTATATAAAGTGCTTTTCAGAGTGTCTGGTACAGAGGGTTCATTCTACACATTATAGGTATTATTGATACTATTATTTCTTAAAAATTCAAATTTCTGGCCTAATGATGGGGAATAGGTGATGGGAGAAAAAAAGTATCATATATTAAATAGCAGTTTCTCAACTACTTTGTGCTTCAGAATCCCAAGGAGAACTTTTGGAAATCACATGTATCAAGGCCACAGCACAAACTCCCTGAAATCAGAATATCTGTGTGTCATGTCCAGGCATCTTTATATGATAAAAGCCTCACGAGTCATTCTGATGTTCACCATATCCTGAGCCCAACTTCTAGAACAATACTAGAATACATATGACCACTTAGAGAGTTACAAATCATTCGCATTATGGAAGAATTAAACTAATACATCGCCGCCCAATAAGCAATCAGCAAGACTATTTCTAAACATGATTGAACAAGATAGTGAGTTTGATCCACTTTTTAGTGCCCTGGACCCTGCATTCTGAGATTTTTAAAGCAAATCTTGTCTTATCCACCATTTGGTAATTATCTTTTCGGGTTAGGCAATGAGTATATCTTATCTCTACACACAATAGCTTGTCAAGGGGAAAGCTCAGGATCAAAAGTAGAGACAGAGTTATTTTGAAGGAAAAAATGCGGCATTCTTTCTTAGCCATGGCTAGATGTTAAGATAATGCCACACAAGAGCTGACTTCACAATGAATATAACATATCTAAAGAGAAAGAGAGAGCGAGACTGAGTCCAAATGATTTACTTTGAACACCTGGATCCTGCTATGCCTGAAGCCATCTGTGGGAATTGTAATTCTTAATTATGTAAACCAATAGACTCTATTTTGTGATTAAAGATGTTTCTGTTACTTTCCACTTAACAGTTCTTACAAATATCTCCATGGTGATTATTTGTCAAAGAATATTAGAAGTGATTGCCCAGGTCATCCTGTTTGTCATTAATCCCATCACCATTGGTTATTGTCTGTTTAAACAGCATTATTCTGGTAATTTTTATTATCTCATGAGACAATGTAAAAGAACATCACTGAAATGTAAATACACAATATTGGCAGTAAACAAAAGTGAAATTGTTCTCATAACTATAAAAACACCAGAATGCATCAAATTTACTTATGGTGCAATTTAGGCCCTCTTTAAGAACAAAGTTACAGAAACATAGACAAAGAAAACTGAATTCATCCTGAAACAGTTCCAGCCGTGTGCTGCAGAGATCCTGCCCACAGACAGAGGATCAATTCTTGATACCTTCCTATTATGTACTGAATTGTGTCGCTCCAATATTCGTATGCTGAAGTCCCCAATGTGACTATATTTAAAGATAGAGGCCATATGGAGGTAATTCAGGTTCAATTAGGTCATAAGGGCAGAATCCTAACTTGATAGGACAGGTGCCCTATCGGAAGAGATAAAGACACCAGGAGCTCAGTGCTCACACAGAAACTGCCTCATGAAGTCACAATGAGAAGGGGGCCGTCTGCAAGCCAAAGAGAAGCCTCAGGAGAAGCCAATCCTGCCCCCAGCTTGATCATGGGCTTTTAATGTCAAGAACTCTGAGGAAATAAATGTCTATAATTTAAGCTACTTTATCTGTGGTATTCTGTTCTGACAGCCCAAGCAGACTAATACGTTTTCTTTTTTCACTTATGTTATGTTTTTACTTGCAAACGAGAAATAGCATACTTCAGTGCATATAAACTTAAAAATACAAGCTGCTTCTTTAATTTATAGGTGGAGTTAAGCTACCATACTTGCTATGTTGTGATTTGAACACACTGAAAATCTCTTTTCCGAAAATAATCACTTTGTCCCTAAAACACCTACTTTAAAAGCTGATTTTTATTCAAAAATGACATAAGTACTTACGAAGGACCTATTAGATGTTTTAATACGTTAATAATAATAATATGTTTGTTAGCTTACACTCTGTGATTGATAAAGCACATGTCCTTTTGGTGCAGAAATAGTATTTCTAGGTGCAGGTAATGTACTGGGTAACAGGATTAAGTGAGAATGCAACAGGGAAGAGTTCGAGGTGGAAGATGTTTTATAATAAAACATAATCATTTTATAGGGGAAATAAGTTTTGCTGTAAATCATATGAAGTTTTAGTGAAAATACTGTACACAGAAACTGAATATTTGTATGCAGTTAAAGAGGTTTACTTGTTCTTTGAACTTTCTAGGAAATAAAAATGCAGAATTATATAAAACGTCATTAGGAAATGGGTCATTTTGCTAAATAATTCACATTAGAATTCCTTTATATAGGTCCCTAAAATACCTGAGGGTCCAATGTTTTACTTTGGCATGGATTAAGCAGGATATGAGTAAGAAGTAGAAAATGAAAATAACTACAGCATCCGGGAAAGGATTAAGAGTCTGTAGGCTAAGCCATAATGGGGGAATTTCTTGGAGACTCCATGTGAAACAAGCCAACTGTGTCGTTCTAGGAAATCTCGTCTTAAGATTCACCTCAGGTTGGGTGCCGTGGCTTATGTCTGTAACCCCAGCACTTTGGGAGGTCAAGGCAGGCAGATCATTTGAGTTTAGCAGTTAGAGACCAGCCTGGGCAAGACAGCAAAACCCCGTTCCCTACAAAAAATTTTAAAAAACAGCTGAGTGTGGTGACCTGTGCCTGTAGTTCCAGCTACCTGGGAGGCTGAGGTGGGAAGATCACTTGAGGACAGGAGGCAGAGATTACAGTGACCCAAGATCATGCCACTGCACTCCAGCCTGGGTCACAGAAAGAGACTATCCCCTCAACACGCCCTAAAAAAGATTTACATCTTAAGGGCAGGACATTTCCAGAGACGATCGGCTGAAGGGGGCAAATAATAGGCTGTGAGCCCATACAAGTCCAGTGCTTGAATTTGAGCAAAATAAATAATCTTGTGTGAGTATCAGGCTAAATTTCTTACTGCAGAATAGGAAGCCTGGAGTTGTTTCTTCAAAGGGCAGGAAAGGTACTTGGTACTCAGGCTATGGAGGAAAGGGAAGTGGAGTGTTGGGCCTCTGCTTCATCTGCATTCCTGCACATAATTGCATGAATTTCCACTTTTGCTGCTGTGAAAAATGGGGCTGATGTTTTTCCTTCTAATTGGTTCTGGTGAGAGTGAGGCTGTGAGAGTCAGCTGGGATAGGGACTAAGCAGGACAAGTGCTAACTGCTGGATCCATAATTGATTTAAATCTCTATTTCAAACGACACAACATACAGGTATATCCTGTTTTATTGGTCTTCACTTTATTGCACTTCACAGATCCTGCATGTTTTACAGATTGAAAATTTGTGGTAATTCTGTGTCCTGCAAGTCTGTCAGTGTCATTTTTCCAATAGCATGTGCTCGCTTTGTGTCTTTGTGTCACATTTTGCAAATTCTCACAGCATTTCAAACTTTTCCTTTGTTTCAAATGCTTTCTTCTGCCCCCACTTAGATGAGCACTGTATTTTATCTTTAAGTATATTAACATGGTGACAAATTGATTTATTTCATTTTTTAAAACTTTTATATTAGGTTCAGGCGTACCTGTGAAGGTTGGTTATATAGGTAAATTGCGTGTCGTGGCAATTTGGTGGACACAGATTATTTTGTCTTCGAGGTAATAAGCATAGCAGCTGAGAGCTTTTCGATCCTCACCCTCCTCCCACCTTCCACCCTCAAGTAGACCCCACTGTCTGTTGTTCCCTTCTTTGTGTCCGTATCTACTCAAAGTTCAGTCCCCACTTATAGGTGAGAACATGAAGTGTTTGGTTTTCTGCTTGTGTGTGTGTTTGTAAGGATAATGGCCTCCAGTTCCAACCATATTCCTTCAAAGAACGTGACTCATTCTTTTGTATGGCTGCATGGTATTCCACGGTGTATATGTACCACATTTTCTTTATCCAGTCTACCAATGATGGGCATTTAGGTTGATTCCATGTCTTTGCTATTGTGAATAGTGCTGTGATGAACATATGAGAGTATGTGTTTTTATGGTAGAACGATTTGTATTCTTCGGGTATATACTCAGTAATGGGATTGCTGGGTCAAATGGTAATTCTGTTTTAAGTTCTTTGATAAACCACCAAAGTGCTTTCCACAATAACTGAACTAATTTACATTTCCATGAGCAGACGATAAGCATTCTCTTTTCTCCACGAACTCGTCACCACAGCATCTGTAATTTTTTGACTTTTTAATAAACAGCCATTCTGACAGGTGTGAGGTGGTATCTCATTGTGCTTTTGGTTTGCATTTCTCTAATGATTAGTGATGTTGAACATTTTTGCATATGCTTGTTGGCCACGTGTACGTCTTCCTTTGAAAATTGTCTGTTCATGTCCTTTGCCTATTTTTTGTCAGGTTTATTTTTTGCTTGTTAAGTTCCTTACAGATTCTGGATATTAGACATTTTTTGATACATAGTTTGCAAATATTTTCTCCCATTCTATGTATCTGTTTACTCTGTTGATAGTTTTTTTTTTTTTTTTTTTTTTTTGTGGTGCAGCAGCTCTCTAATTAGGACCCATTTGTCAATTTTTATTTTTGATGCAATTGCTTTTGGCATCTTCATCGTGAAATCTTTACCAGGTCCTATGTTCAGAATGGTATTTCATAGGTTATCTTTCAGAGTTTTTATAGTTTTAGGCTTTACTTTTAAGTCTTTAATCCATCTTGAGTTGATTTTTGTATATGGTGTAAGGAAAGAGTTCAGTTTCAGTCTTCTGCATATGGCTAATCAGTTATCCCAGCACCATTTATTGAAAAGGGAGTCCTTTTCCTATTGCTTGTTTTTATCGGCTTTGTCAAAGATCAAATAGTTGTAGATGGTTGGCAATGTTTCTGGGTTCTCTATTCTGTTCCATTGGTGTATGTGTCTGTTTTTGTACTAGTACCATGCTGTTTTTGTTCTGTACCCCTGTAGTATAGTTTGAAGTCAGGTACCATGATATCTCCAGCTTTGTTCTTTTTCTTAAAATTGGCTTGGCTCTTTGGGCTCTTCTTTGGTTCCATATACACTTTACAATAGGGTTTTTTTTTTTTCTAATTACGTGAAGAATGTCATTGGTAGTTTGAGAGGAATAGCATTGAATGTATAAATTGCTTTGGGTGGTGTGGCCATTTTAATGATACCGATTCTTCCTATCCATGAGCTTGGAATGTTTTTCTATTTTTTTGTGTCATCTAGGATTTCTTTGAGCAGTGGTTTGTAGTTCTCCTTGTAGAAGTCCTTCACTCCCCTTTTTAGCTGTATTCCTAGGAATTTTATTCTTTTTGTGGCAATTGTGAATGGGGTTGCATTCCTGATTTGGCTCTCAGCTTGACTGTTATTGGTGTACAGAAATGCTAGTGATTTTTGTACACTGATTTTGTATCCTGAAACTTTGTTGAAGTTGTTTATCAGCTGAAAGAGCTTTTGGGTCAAGACTATGGGGTTTTCTAGATATAGAATCATGTTGTCTGCAAACAGATAGTTTGACTTTTTCTCTTTCTATTTTGATACTGTGTATTTCTTTTTTTGTTTTGTTTTGTTTTTTTGAGACAGAGTCTCACCCTGTCACCCAGGCTGGAGTGCAGTGGCATGATCTTGGCTCACTGCAACCCCTGCCTCCCAGGTTCAAGTGATTCTCCTGCCTCAGCCCCCCAAGTAGCTGGGACTACAGGCACCCACCACCACACTGGCTGATTTTTGTATTTTTAGTACAGACGGGTTTTGCCATTTGGCCAGGCTGGTCTGGAACTCCTTACCTCAGGTGATCTTCCCACTGCAGCCTCCCAAAGTAGATGCCCTATATTTCCTTATCTTGCCTGATTGCTCTGGCCAGGACTTCCAATACCATGCTGAACAGGAGTAGTGGAGAGGGCATCATTATCTTGTGCTGGTTTTCAAGCAGAATGTTTCCAGGTTTTGCCCATTTAATATGATGTCGCTGTGGGTTTTTCAAAGATGGCTCTTATTATTTTGAGATATGTTCCTTCAACACCTACTGCATTGAGAGTTTTTAACATGAAGAGGTGTTGAATTTTATCAGAAGCGTTTGCTGTATCTATTGAGATCATCATGTAGTTTTTGTTGTTAGTTTTATGAGGTGAATCACATTTATTGATTTGCAAACTTTTCCATTATTAGTAAAATATGGGGAGATTAAAACAGTTTGTGGAAAAAAGCAATTAAAAGGTAAAAATCACAAAATATAAATTTTACTTCTCAACATAAGCTCCATCAAGTTCAAGACACTTTTATAGGTGATGATACTAGCCATTTAGTCCATTCCTAAAGACCTGAGGATCTTAAGAATTTAACTATATCAATGTTGTAATCTTCTCATTATTGAAAGAAGAAAAATTGGTGTCCTTTAAAAATATTTTGAGAGTGGGAAGCTAAAAGAAGTCAGAAGGAGCCAAATGAAGATTGTAAGGTAGATGCCCAATGATTTCCCATTGAAACTCTCCCAAAAATTGTCCTAGTTTGATGAGAGAAATGAGCAAGAGCATTGTCATGATGGAGACTCCCTGGAGAAGCTTTCCTGGGAGTTTACTGTTAAAACTTTGGATAACTTTCTCAAAATACTCTCATAGTAAGCCTAGGTTACCATTCTTTGGCCCTCCAGGAAGTCAACAAGAAAAATCACTTGAGCATCCTCAAAAACTGTTGTGAGAACCTTTGTTCTTGACTGGTCTGCTTTTGCTTTGACTGTAACACTTCTACCTCTTGGTAGCCATTGCTTTGATTATGCATTGTCTTCAGGATTATACTGGGAAATCCATGTTTTATCTTCTCCTATAATTCTTCAAATAAATGCCTCAGGATATTGACCCCACTTATTTAAGATTTCCACTGAAAGCTCTGCTGTTGTCTGCAGCTGATCTGGACACAATAGTTTTGGCACCCATCTAGAAAAAACTTTACTCAACCTTAATTTCTAAGTCACAGTTGTGCAAGCCAAACCAGTTGAGATGTCTGTGGTGTTGGCTGTTGTTCTGCTGTCTCAGTTCTTTTCAATTAAGGCACAAACAAGATGTATTTTTTTCCTCACAAATTGACGTGGATAGTCAGCTGCTGCAGGGTTCATCTTCAATATTTTCTTATCCCTTTGTAAAACTGAGTTCTCTTTTTGTCAACTGCTGATTCCTTTGGGACATTGTGCCTATAAACTTTTCATAAAGTATCGGTGATTTCACCATTCTTCCAAACAAGTTTCATCATAAATTTCATGTGTGTTCTTGGTTCCATTTTAGCAATATTTATGTGGCTCTGATAGGGGCTCTTTTTAAATAGATACCTTATTGTTCTTAGTGCATCAAATTAGATTCTATTCAGACATGTTATAATAAGCTAGCTTGTTTTAGTGCAGAATTTTTGAAATCCATGTATAGTGTTTTCCTAATACATATTTTCCATGATTTTTTGAAGACCCCTTGCATTTGTTATGGCAATCAGTGACCTTTGAGATTACTACTGTGATTAGTTTGGGGAACCACAAACCATGCCCGTAAAAGATGGCAAACTTAGTTGATATATGTTGTGTGTATTCTGACTGCTCCACCAACTGGCTGTTCCCCCTTCTGTCTCTCTTCCTCTCCTCAGGCATCCCTATTCCCTGAGACACAGCAATATTGAAATTAAACAAATTAGTAACCTTAACAACGGCCTCTAAGTGTTCCATTGAAAGGAAGAGTGGCACATCTCTCATTTAAATCAAAAGCTACACATGATAAACCTTAGTGAGAAAGGCGGGTTGAAAGTCAAGACAGGCTGAAAGTATGAAATTTACCTAAGTTGTAAATGTGAGAAAAAGTTCTTGAAAGCAATTAAAAGTGCCACTCCAGTGAACACAAAAATAATAAGAAAACAAACCACCTTATTGCCGATATAAAGTTTTAGTTAGTGGCCTTCATATATGATCAAAATAACCATGACACTCACTTAAGACAAATCCAAGTCCAGAGCAAGGCTCTACCTCTCTTCAATTCTATGGAGGCTGAGAAAGGTGAGGAAACTGCAGGAGAAAAGTTGGAAGCTAGCAGAGGTTGGTTCATAAGGTTTAAGGAAAGAAGCCATCTCCATAACATAAAAGTACAAGATGATTTAGCAAGTGTGGATATAGAAGCTTCAGAAAATTGTCCAGAAGATCTAGTTAGGATAATTGATGAAGGTTACTACACTACACAACAGATTTTCAATGTAGATGAAACAGCTTCTGTTGAAAAAGATGCCATCTATAACTTTCATACTTAGAGAGGAGTTCATGCTTGACTTCAAAGCTTTGAAGTATAGGCTAATTCCCTTGTTAGGGGCTAATGCAGCCAGTGACTTTAAGTTGAAGGAAATGCTCATTTGCTATTCTGAAAATTCTAGGGCCCTTATGAGTTATGCTAAATGTCCTCTCCCTGTGCTCTAGAAATAGGACAATGAGGCCTGGGTGACAGCACGTCTGTTGACAGCATGGTTTACTGAATATTTTAATCTTACTGTTGAGACTTATTGCTGAGAAAAAAAATCCTTTTAAAATATTACTGCTCATTGAGAGTGCACCTGGTCACCCAAGAGCTCTGATGGAGATGGACAGAAAGACTGGTGTTGTTTTCATGCCTGCTAACACAATATCCATTGTGTAGCCCATGGATCCAGGATTAATTTTTACTTTCAAGTCTTATTACTTAAGAAATACATCTTGTAAGGCTGTAACTGACACAGAGAGTGATTCCTCTGATGTGTCTGAGCAAAGTAAATTGAAAACTTTTTGGAAAGGTTTCACAATCCTATATGGCATTAAAATAATTTATAATTCATGGGAGAAGGTCAAAGTATTGAGGTTAACTGAAATTTGGAAGAAGTTGATTCCAACCCTCATGAATGACTGTGAGGGGTTCAAGACTTTAATGGAGAAAGTCACTACAGATGTGGTATAAATAATAAGAGAAGTGGAGAACTAGAATTAGAAGTGGAGCCTGAGGATGTGGCTGAATTGCTGCAATCGATAAAACTTGAATGGATTAGGGGTTGCTTCTTATGGATGAGCAAAGAAAGGGTTTTTTTGAGATACAACCTACTCCTGAAGGGAAGATGCTGTGAACATTGTTGAGACGACAACAAAGGATTTAGAGTATCATATAGATTTAGTTGACAAAGCAGCAGCAGAGTATGAGAAGACTGATTTTAATTTTGAAAGAAGTTCTAAAGTGGGTCAATGCTATCAAATAGCATCCATTGCATGCAGCAGAGAAATCTCTCATGAGGAGAAGACTCCATCAACGTGGCATATTTCATTGTTGTCTTAAGAAATTGCCACAGCCACCTCAATCTTCAGCAACCATCACGCTGATTAGTAAGCAGCCATCAACACGGAGGCAAGACCCTCCACCAGAAAAAGATAACAACTTCCGGAAGGTTCAAATGATTGTTAGCATTTTTTAGCAATAAAGTATTTTAAAAATTAAAGAACACTTAATAGACTCCAGTGTAGTGTAAATATAACTATTATATGCACTGGGAAACCAAAAAATTTGTCTGGCATGTTTCATTGTGATAATTGCTTTTTTTTTGCCTTGGTCTGGAACTGAAACCACAATATGTCCACAGTATGCCTGTATTAGCTATACACTCTATTAAGGAACACATCTATTGTGTTAATGGAATGCTGCATTTTTTTTGAGAAGGAGTATTGCTCTGTCTCCAGGCGGGAGTGCAGTGGCATGATCTCAGCTCACTGCAACCTCTGCCTCCTGGGTTCAAGCGATTCTCCTGCCTCAGCCTCTCAAGTATTTGGGACTACAGGCATGCACAACCACACCCAGCTAAATTTTGTATTTTCGGTAGAGACAGGGTTTCACCATGTTGGCCAGGATGGTCTCAATCTCTTGACCTTGTGATCCACCCACCTTGGCCTCCCAAAGCGCTGGGATTACACGTGTGAGCCACCGCTAATTTGTGAACCCACAGAAAGCTCTAAACACCATGTAACTGTCAAGGATGAGCAGCATTTACCTAAGTTACCTGGAACCATCCCTACTCAGGTACACTCAGTTCTGCTAACTCATAACTAGTGCTACTAAGAAAGTACATTATGGAGTTAAAAAAAAAGACACAATAAAAAAAGAGAGACATTGGAGCAGCCAAATAATAGTGAAAAATGTTAAGGCTGAGCCCGTTAGCAAAATAAAGATAGAATATTAACAGGTAGCTCTTCCCCAGGTGCACATAAGTAGCTCTCATTAGTGATAATGGAAGCTTTGTGAGCATTCTAGGAAGACTATGTTTCTGAGTAATATCCTTAGGAGGGAGACTAGAGGCAATAGCTGGAGTAGTTATGAAGGTGGAAACACAAACAAATAAAGAATAACTGAGAATGCTTATTTGGAATTTGATCTGCCGTAAGAATTTTTATCTCTTTAGCTCTTCAAATTACTAGGCCCATTCTAGAAAACCAAACTGCTCATTACAAATTTCTTCCTTTTCTGCCTTTCTCTCTCTCTATCTATCTCTTTCTCTCTTTCCCTCTCTTTCTCTTTGCATACCCTCCACATGACATATCTGTGATATATATAAAAATACATAATACTAGTGTGGGAATATTGAATGGAGTCATAAGGACTTTGGAGATTTAAAGACCTGGCTTTGAGTTTCTGTTCTTCCACTTATTAGCAGTAAGCCACAGTTTATAATTCTAGAAATTGGGATAATAGTCCTTCACCCAAATGCTCTTCTGAGGATTAATGTATAATGCACCAAAAACCCTGTTGGGTTGGGTGTAGTGGCTCACACCTGTAATCCCAAGATTTTGGGAGGTTGAGGCAGGAGGATCGCTTGAGGCCAAGAGTTTGCACCAGCCTTGGCAATATAGTGAGATCCCATTTTTATTTTTATTTTTTTAAATAGCCAAGCATGGTGGTGTGTGCCTAAAGTCCTAGCTACTCAGGAGGCTGAGGTGGGAGGATCATTTAAGCCCAGGAGCTTAAAGCTGCAGGGAGCTATGGTCGTGCCACTGTAGTCCAACCTGTGCAACAGAGCAAGACTCTGTCTCTTAAAAAAAGATAAAGGAAAAAAAAAAAAAGCCCTTGCCTCACAGGCTTTACTTTGATCAACAATGCTTTGGAAAAAGACTAGTATTCATTTAAGATTGAGCTGAGTCCTTAGTAAAAATCAAATGAAAAAACAAATGGATTTTTCCTATCGTTGTTTGAGTTTTAGATAGGATACTCAAAATTCACATCCTAGTTGTAGTCTCATTGCACTTGAGCAAAGAATGATGAGAAATACTACCAAACCACATATTGGTAATTGAGATATTTAGGACAGAGCCTCACACAAGTGTTGTATTGTATGGTAGGAATCATTTCGTGTGACTGAAACATCACTCTTCCGCGTTAAGGTGAGAACACAACAGACGATTCACTATGACTAGCGTTAGAGCTTAGTGAAGGCTTCTTTTCTCTTCATTATGCATTTTTAAAGTTGATAAAATTTGTGCCATTTGTGCCAATAATTTGAACAGGGCATTCAGCATCCATTTTTTGTCTAAAGAGAGAAGACTTTCTTCCCTAATTTGAAAAGTTTGGATTAGTTTTTCACACTGAAAAATCTATATTTAGTCTAGGATGTCAGATGACTTTTTAACTGAATCCCTGGAATTGTCTCCCAGCATCTCTGGGACCGAGGCCATCGTGTGGCTGATGTAGACCAAGGTCTGCTGAAGAAAGCTGCTCATACTCTACCTGACTTGCAGTGCAGAATGGGACAGGAGGTCTCACAAAATTAAACCAAGGAAAAGGAGTTACAACTTATCTCTAGATGTTTGTGTAAACTGGCTATTCAATGTTGCTAGCCTGCTAATAGTCAGGAGTATCTGAACAAGTGGCTAATTCTTCTCTCCCTTTTATTTCTGGAGATTTTAATGTCATGTAGGCATAAAACCAGAGTACCATTGACAACTCTAACTTGTTTCAACCTTTCTTGGAATTTTCTCATCAGCATTGTCTTGGGCCCATGCTTTGTTCTTCAGAGACTGGACTCTTGTTTTATTAGCCTGACATTTTGTTTTGACCTCTGTTGACACCTTCTGCCCTCCGGCGTGCACTCTGTTTAGTAGCTTCTTTTATTTATAACTAATGCTCTTCTGCTCGACTCAGACAAACTCATTGATTTGCAATCTGGTCACACTTGCATTGCTCTATCTAATATAAAATCTTTTCTTTTTCTCGAGCATCTCTCTTTTTGCCATGACATTTATTCAGCTTCTTGCATTTTCATTTTGCTTTCACTCCTATTCTGATTACAGATTAAAAATGTCTGCATTATACCAGCGGGGAAAAGCTATTCCAGTTCAGAGAGATCACTGCGAAGCATACCTTACATCTTTAAAGGACTTTATGATTTCACAGAGCATCTTCACACACACAATATCTTACTTGATCCTCACAACAACCCTGTGAGGTAGGTGTTAACATGTTCATTATACAAGAGTGGGAATAAAAATGCTGAGATACACAGAGGCATACCATCTAGAGTTCTACTAGAATCTTAATAGTATGAATCTTGGGTCTGTGTGTTAAAACGTAAAGGAAAGAAGAGTTGTGAAAATGTAGTCTGTTGATCAGTAGAGAGAAACCAAAAATATAACATGTAATCCCATAAGAGATTTTTAGAACAAAAGAATATTGGTATTCTTTTTCATGATCAAAATATTTTTGTTTGAAATGACCAGGTAATACATGAAAAGTTTTATTTTTGGTTTAAATGGGTTGGATAAATTGCCCAAGCTCGACTACACTTCAAAACTTAAAAAAAAAAAAAAAAAAAAAAAAAAAATATATATATATATATATATATATATATATATATATATATATATATATATGCTGTAATTTGGAAAATAAGAAGATGAGAAGGTAAAATAAGAATCAATTTTTAAAAAATATTCTAAGGAATTAAAATTTTTTTATCTCCTCTGCATACCTATCCAGCCCTGTTCCTCCCCCAGTATAGCTTAGATGTATTGTAATTGCTTGTTCATTTGTCTACATCTCTTAGGGACAATTAGCTCTGTAAAACCAGAGACAATTATCTCTTATTAGCTGTTATGTCCAGCTCATGGAGGTACATAATGGACATGTGAATTAATGATTGAATGAATGGATTTTCTTCTATGACATCCCTATCTCTGGTTGAGAATAATGTTTGAATATAAAGAACTCTCATATTATCAATACTCATGACAGTTCTCCTAGAACCCAATAAATTAAATTGTGTTCTAGACTCTAGGTGAATGCGTGTAGTCCAGCCTGTGCAATAGAACAAGGCTCTGTCTCTTAAAACAAGAAAAAGAAAAAAAAAAAGCCCTTGACTCAGTCTTTACTTTGATCAAAAATGCTTTGGAAAGAGACCAGTATTCATTGAAGATTGAGCTGATTCCTCAGTAAAAATCAAATGAAAAACAAATGGATTTTTCCTATCATTGTATGAGTTTTAGATGGGATACTTAAAATTTACACCCTAGTTGTAGTCTCATTGCGCATGAGCAAAGCATGGCGAGAAATACTACCAAACCACATATTGGTAATTGAGATATTTAGGACAGAGCCTCACACAAGTGTTATATTGTATGGTAGGAATCGCTTTGCTTGACTGAAACATCACTCTTCCAAGTTAGGGTGAGAACACAGCAGTTCTCCTAGAACCCAATAAATTAAATTGGGTTCAAGACTCTAGGTCAATGGGTGGCAGAGAACTGAGGACTGGTTGGAGCAGCCCTCCAGTCCGTGCATGAGAGGTGTCCAGGCTGGGGGTGATAGGGGAGAGAGGTGATGGTGGAGTAATTGGAGTAAGAAGAGGTATGAGCATGGGAGCAGAGGCCCAAACAGCACCAGGGACCAGGAGAGAAGGCCATGTGGAAGTCAGGTACAACACGGGAACCAAAGTCATTTGGAGGAGTCACAAAAGGATCTTGGAAGTCAGTTGTGCAGATGACTTGTCCAGAGGTGAAGGGCCTTTTAATGAGATGGTAGCAGAGGATGTCCCGCCCAACCCACCTGATCTTAAGAGGGCCCTGCCCTAATATGATCAGTGAGTTGTACTGGTCCTGACACATATATAAAGGAGGAAATTAATTATTTTTAACATATTTTCAGAAAGCCTTACAAAATTTTAAAGATGCATATGAAAACATTCAATATAAATTTTCACATACCACCATTAACTACAGATGTGGGGAATCAGGCACTTTCATACAGAATAAATTGGTACAAGCTTTTAGCAGCCATTTACAATAATTCATCAAATGGTAAAATGTATGTAACCTTTGAACCATTGATTCTACTTCTAGCAAATTCCCTATTAAAAAGTATTCCCACAAGATTACATGTGAGAGTGTTGAATGTAGCATTGTTTATTAAAGTCTGACCAAAGCAAACAAAAATCATTTAGTGTTCAGGACTAGAGGAGTGAATGGCTATATTATGGTGATTATGGTGTAGCTGAATAATAGAATAATGTGTAGCCATTGAGAGAAAAGAGGTAGTGACATATATAATGATATGGACAGATGACTGACATATTAACATAAGCGAAAAGCAGAATATACCACATTAGATGTTTATGTATATCATTCTTTGTTTTTAAAGCATTATGCAGTTGTTATATACTCTGCATGAGGAGGGAGGGCATGGTGGAGAATGCAGAGGCTGTATACAAACATCTCTCTTACTCCTTCCTCAAAGAAAGCATGTGCATAAACTCCAAAATAGCCATGAAAATACTGTAACTGAAAACATTTCTGAACATATCTGAAGAAAATGTTCAAAGCATTTGATAACCTTAGGTAATGGAAGACAGTGGGGTGCTGTTTGCAGTGTAAAAATAAAAAAAAAATAGTTTCTTATTTGCAAAACTTGACTAAAGTCAATGTTAAGAAGCTCAGAGAAAGCCTCAGGAAAAGGAGATAAAAACAAAAGATAAAATAAAGGCAGAGATAAAGATAACATAAGGATAAGAAGGAGAACTTTTTAAGAGGAACTCAGCTGAAAGTAAATGGAGTGAAAAGGAGAAAGAAAGAAGTAAGTCGAGTAAAAAGTACACAGCAGGTGGGCCAGGCTTGGTGGCTCATGCCTGTAATCCCAGCACTTTGGGAGGCTGAGGTGGGCAGATCATGAGGTCAGGGGATCGAGACCAGCCTGGTCAAAATGGTGAAACCCCGTATCTACTAAATAACAAAAATTAGCTGGGTGTGGTGGCATGTGCCTGTAATCCCAGCTACTCAGGAGGCTGAGGTGGGAGAAGAATCATTTCAACCCGGGAGGTGGAGGTTGCAGTGAGCCGAGATGGTGCCACTGCACTCCATCCTGGCGACAGAGCGAGACTCCATCTCAAAACAAACAAACAAACAAACAAAAAAACAAAAAAGTATACAGCATTCAAAAGTGACCACATTAAAGAACGAATGGATAGAATGGAGAAAAGACAGACAGATTAATGTTTCTATTGTTTTAATATAACAGTAATACTCATTAAGTAACACTAAAGTACTCCGAAGACACACAATACTCTGTTGTACTTTGAAAGCATCATGATTACACTAATGACTACTCTAATGGCTGGTATTCACAACCATGCCCTACTTTGTCTAAATATGTCATACCTACACAATATTAGGTTAAAATAATTAGGTTTTGTAGGGCAGATAAATTGCTACTGTATATTTCTAGATAATGATTACAAATAAAAACTGCCAGATTTTGGTACATAAAAGGATTTGCCATTATCTGCCTAAAACAGACCCCTGATGATTAAATATGATCACCCTGTTTGTGTTACCTATCCCATGGACACACAGACACACACACACATCACATGTAGTTTCTACTGGGAATACAGAGGGAGGGAGGAGCCTTCTGATTCTGAGAAGTTAAGTGGGGATTCCACACTCCTCTTCATAATCCTTTCATTATATCAGTATACATTCAGCCTAGACACAACAATTGACTTACAGCATGGCAAATAGAAGACATCTCATCTAATATTTAGTATTTAAGGTCCAATTAACAGGTTGTGTATATTGCAACATGAGGTCGGCAGTAGATTGACAAATATTCTTGTTGTGAAATCTATTCTGTTGTAGGTTTAAAGGTTTAGAACATGGAATACCACATTTCAAGTTTTTAGAAAAATAAACGAAGAGCCCCAGACATCAGATAGTTAATTTTTCAGGGTTCTTAAACTGTCCAAATTCTTATATTTAAGGTTTCATTTAGTAAGGAAGGAGGTTGTAATTGTTTCTATGCATAAGCTTGATTTTCCCTTAGTGGATAGAAATTGACTTGAAAATTGAACAATTTTCTTTGTGGAATTTTTAGAAAATAGTATTCATCACAAAAACAAAAGACAAATGGATAATGAGATTGAAAGAGTTGTATAATATAATCTATTTGTTTTACCCCAATTAGCATGCTTATTTGTAGAAAATTATGTTTGGCTTCCATAGAGTCTGTATGGATCTGTGCTGAAGTTGCGAACATTTGCCTCAAGCCCAGATCTCTAGTATCACAGACTTACTTATTACAAGAATTCACACAGAAAACAAAATACTATATACTTACTTAATGTGTTTCCACTCCCCTTTTCCCCTTTCTGGCCTTTTGGTCCAGAATTTCCTTGAGAAAAGAAGAAAAATATTTGTTTTTAATCAGGGCAATTCACAATGTTTGCTTTAACTGGAGACAGATCATCACAAGGTAATTAAAATATAATAGAATGGACAGATATTGAAATGTATAATAACATTGTATAATGTTAACAATAATAATAGTTATTACTTAGGAAGCTCCATTCTGAACTCAATATTGTGATATTTCAAATTATTTACAAGGCCCTAAATGCCCCATTTTCCTAAATCAAGCAAAGCTGAAGAATAAGGAGTTTGTTTTGTACTTATTTATCCTCCTTTTCTCCTCTTCCTTTGACTGGGTCTTACTCACACCCCCAGGAAGTCCAGTGCCTTCCATGAGCTCCCACATCCCGTTCTTATATTCACATTACATTTATGGTTTTCATTTCTTTAGAGTGTACCATCCCCAAAAACTGGGCTGCCAATGACTTTCTGGGAGTGTTGAGATTCTTACTCATGGGGAAGGTAGGAAGATCCTTGGAGCGTTCACATCTCCAGGATGATCACCTTTGGTTTTGAGAAACCTCACCCATTTATACAGGGGTGTGGTACAAATATTTCATATGAGGGTCAGGGCTTCAAATGGATGCAGAAACATTGCTAGATCTTTTTTTTTGCCAACGGATTGCTACTTCACCCACTGTCCCATTTTTAAAGGGGTGTGCAGGAGATCTTTCTTTAGTACCAAGAAATCTCTTAAGATTGGTGCTGTTCCTGCTTATTGAGTTTTTTTTCCAACAGCCATGAGATACAATCAGATCTTCAAGTAATTACTACCTTGACATAAATCTAGAACTGATCCTAGTGCTCTCTGTCTCAAAGTCAAAACCTTTGTTAATGTTTTTGATTCCCTCCAGCAAAACTGAGAACCTTCAACCTTTTCATCCTAGAGCTCAGAGGATGTAGTTTAACAACCATAGACTTCAAAATAATAATAGTAATAATTTAGAAACCCCTGTGTTGAGTTATTTTGCTCTGCTACTTACTGGGTATGTGACTTGGGACAAGTCTTTAAATCTTTCTGAGCTAAAGTTTATTCTTCTATAAAATAAAAAAATAACGCTTTTCATTGTAGAGTTGCCTGTTCATTAAGCACTTTGCCCATAAAAGATACACATAAAAGATCTAGTTCTTCTTATTCCTATTCTTCACCTCCTAAAGCTTAGCTGGAATCTTCTCTTTGTGATTTTATTCTCAGAGAATGAGAGAAAAACTTTTTCATCGCAGTTCATTTTATATGGTACAATTATATATAATTTTAGTGTTTATATTTATTTTTGATTTCTCTAGTTTACATTGTCTTCATCTGTGCTTTATTTTGAACATGTGTCATTATGTATTTCTTAGAGAAGATTTTGGATCCTAATTTACCAGCTAAAAAAATACATATATATAATGTAACATATACAATCAGTAGCATGAGACTTGAGGCACTTAAAGAGTAAACATTATTCCCAATTGAAATTGTATTTTGAAGATTTAATGAAATGCCAACCATTTTATATCAGGTCATAATATCAAATTTCTAATTCTCTAATTGCTTTGCATAATGTGATTATACTTTATATCATTAAATTCATTTCTTAATTGTAATTGAGTTGTTTCAGGTACTGCTAAATTGGCAAAAATTGTTGCTACCACAAAGCACCCAAAACCTTTCCTATATTTTGAGAGCATGCTTTAATAAAATATAGTGCCAAATTTTCAGATTGTCCAAGAGGAAAAAGCTCTAAGAAATTGTTAAAAATTAGGGAAGGGAGGAGTTAAAACAAAGTTCTAACTCTTTTCATAAAAGAGAACATAATAAGCAAGCTTAATTTCATTATTTCAACATTAACTTCACAATGAGAAAAGAGAAAGAAACTATGCATTGTTCTTAGAAGTCTTTTCACACAGCAACTTGTCTTAGATATTTCAGAATAGACATGCTTAAGCCAGAGACATGCTTGACCCACGAAAGGTCCTTGTAGCTCTCAGATTCTATGATAAATAAAAAATTAGTTTCATGTTTTTATTTTGCCTTTGTTCTTATACCACTGTGACTTTTCCTTTTAAAGATGGTAAAATAAAATGCCTTATCTCCTTATAAAAAAACAAACAAATGTTTTGTATCATTTTAACATGATTCAGAGATTTGCTTACCGATGATACTTGAAAATCTTTTCTCACACTTGAAAACAGCAAAAATATCCTTTCTAATGGAGAGGAATGTAGTGGTCCTTCAGAATGATACCTTTGGTTAAAAATGAATGCAAGGGCTTGGTCCAAACCTAGAGTTAACTATCTCCTATCCTATGTATTACTCTTTAATAAAAAGTAACTTATATTTCTAAAAGCCATTCAAAAGTAAGAACCAGGTCATATGTAGGAGGATATTCTAACTTGAAAGGATGTAAGAGGGGGTGTCTTCAATAACATCATCATGATTTCAAGCATTTTTTGTGAGCCTCTTATATGAGCCGGATACTAGGTTAGACATTTCTGCTTACATGCCTTAATTACACTAACCAAATTTCTGCAGCTGTAGGCCGCCTTTCCATCCCCCGTTTCTTTCAAGCTACTTTCAAATGTGATCATCCTCTCTCCTAAGCCTTGTGCTTCTTCCTGGTCCCTGAATTCCTCACCTTATAACCACTCATTAACCTTACACTATCTTTTTTGCTTTGCTTTCCTCTGTCTTCAGCCACTCCTCCTCTATTTTATCTTTCCATAAGCATTTAAGTGGTACTCAGATCCTTCCTTCAAAGAAAAAAAAAACCATATGAAACAAACAAAACTAACAAAAAATGCATCTCTTCCTCCTCCTCTGCATAGTGAGGCAGCTTGAGAGTTGAGTCTACCACATCTCCAACCCTTATCAACCATTCCCTTCTCCGCATACCCTAATCTGGTTATCACCCCACCCCACAGAATCTGCTCTGAACAATGGCAACATCCCCACAGCAGCAGGTGCAAAGGGCTTTTTGTAGACTTCACCTTACTTGACCACCTTTGAAACTCTGTGTTTGCCTTTTTTCATGCTCTGTTCTCTGGGTTTTCTTCTTCAGTTGGGCTACTTCTCTTCCATTTGCTACTTTGTTCATCTCAGCCTGTACTTCTGGAACTACTTAAAGCTTTATGCTATGCCCCTTCTCTTTGTACCTTTCCACTCTCTACCCATAAAATATTATTAAAATCAGTGGTTCTGAATAATATTTATATAATCATAGATAAACTTTGTCTTTTAATCTCTGGCCTCTACTCGAAACTTCAGACTCATGTGTTCAACCGTCTGTAGATAGCTCCATGAATCACAGAGAGAAAATGTTCAGTAAACGTGTTGAATTAATAAATGAACTACATATGGTGTAATATTTTAGATAATCCTGAAAATGACCATAACTTACCCTGAGGGAAACAATAAGTCTTTGAATGGACTTCAAGAGGCAAAACAGACAGAAGTACGTTATTTGCATGCTGAAAGTTCTACTATGTTGAACAAGGTAGAACAGAACCTTCTACGGATTTTGAAGACGGGCAAGGTTTCACATCAATTAAATCCTCCAAACTTTCTGAAGTAAATATATCAGGTCTTATAAATGGACTACTCTATAGATCTGCTATGCATGGAGAAAGTGTGAAGTCTTCTCTTTCTCTTCTCATGTTTGTGTATCTTTTCAGTTGTAGACTGTCTTATTCACCCTTCATTTCCCTGTTTCTAGCACTGTACCCTTACGAGCAGTGTGTACTTAATCCATGTAGAAGGAAAGGGCAAGGTGAGAAGAAAAGGAGTGTGGGAGGGAGAATAGAAGAAAATAGATGGAGGATGTTCTTTTTGAACTTTTTGCTTCAGAATCTGATAATGTTTTTGATATCATTCACATAGTCCAGGCTGTGAAAAAATTACAACTCAAGCAATGTAAAGTATCAAAGAGTGTTTATATCACAAATTGGGGTCTTAGCTCTGAAATATATTACTTTATCTATCACGGACCTGTTTTTACTTATTTCATATTTGACAATTATCGGACTTATTTCTAATTTTAGCACCTTCTTCAGACTCTTGTAGAGGAGAGACTGTACTGTTCCTTCTTTTAGTCTGCAGTACAACTAGAACAGCACCTGGCACTGCTGCTGACATCTCTACCAGATTGGTGTCTTTTAATAAGAAGTGATGTCCTAAGGATATGTTTTGTCAAGGGACTTATTACCTCTGCCGTTGTTTTTCTTTGTGCGTGATTACTCTTTCTGCACTGTTTTTTTCCACCTAAACATAATGGTTTTCAAAATGTGGTCCCTGGACCAATAGCATCACCGTCACCTGGACATTGGTGAGGATGCAAGCCCAATCCCAGACCTACTGCATCAGAAACTCTGGGGTGGAGTCCTGTAAGCTGTTTTAACACATCCTCCTGGTGATTCCAACACCTACAATAGTTTTAGAAATACAAACCTAAAGAAATTCTAGGCCTCTTTTAGTCCAGCGCTAACAAACACTACTTTCTATCTAACACATTTTCTTACAGTATGGAATTAATCACTCCTTACTCTCTACTTCCATACAGCAATTTGTCCAACCTCACCAAGGTTGTTTACTTACCACATGGCATTATAGCTAATTGCTTATGCATTTTTTTTCTGTATCCAGCTCCTTAAGAAAAGCAGCTGTGCTGTATTTATCTCCAGCACACAGTGACCCCTCATCAAGTTGTGTGAACTGGGTGAATGAATGAAATAATACTCTCCAAAGCTAAACATAGGTTTACCATTTGATCCAACAATCACACTCTTAGGTAAACTCCTGTCCACAGAAAAGCCAGCACATTAATGTTTATAGCTGCTTTACGTAGAATTTCTAAAACTTTTTTTTTTGAGTCAGGGTCTCACTGTTACCCAGGCTGGAGTGCAGTGGCATGATCTTGGTTCATTGCAACCTCTGCCTCCTGGGTTCAAGTGATCCTCCCACCTCAGCCTCCTGAATAGGATGCCACCATGCCTGGCTAATTTTTGTATCTTTTGGTAGAGACACGGTTTCACCAGGTTGGCCAGGCTGGTCTTGAACTGATGACCTCAAGTGATCCGCCCACCTCAGTGATCTGCCTGCCTTGGCCTCCAAAAGTGCTACGATTACAGGTGTGAGCCACCACGCCCAGCCTAAAACTTTGAAGCAACCAAAGCGTCCTTCAGTAGTTGAATGGATAAACAAATTGTGGTAAATCCATAAAATGGAATACTATTGAGTAATAAAAAGAAATGAGCAATCAGACCATGGAAAGATATAGAGAAACCTTACATTCATATTGCTAAGTGAAAGAAGCCAGTCTGACAAGGCCACATACTGTCTGACTCCAACTATATGACATTCTGGAAAAGGCAAAACTATGGAGTCAGTAAAAAGATCAGCAGCTGCCAAGAGATTGTGGTGGGGAGGAATAGAGTTGGTGGAGCACAGGGGACCTTTAGGGCAGTGAAACTATTCTGTCTAATACTGTAATGATGGATACATGACATTATACATCTGCTGAAACACATAAAATGTACAACAGAAAGAGTGGCCACTAATGTACATTATAGATTTTGGGTAATAATATGTCAGTGTTGGTTTATTAATGGTTACATATATACCACACTAATGCAAGATGTTAATAGTAGAGGAGACCATGTGTGCATGGGTGGTTTATGGGAACTCTCTATGCTTTCTGTGCAGTTTTTCTATAAATGTAAAACTGTTCTAAAAATAAAATGTAGTTTAAAAATACCTCAATGATAGGGACCCTATTCCTTTTTTTTCTTTTTCTTATTTTTTTAGAGACAGGGCCTCACTATGTTGCTCAGGCTCGTCTCAAACTCCTGAGCTAAGCAATCCTCCCACCTCAGCGTCTCAAATAGCTGGGACTACAGGTACTCACCTCTGCACTTGGCCCGACTCTATTCTCTTGATGATAATTCACTTTGAAATGAGGAGACAGTAAGCCTAGCTCTTTCTAAGATTGCTGTTCAAAGTTTGCAATTTAAGCTTAGGCTACTGGCAGAGCTGATGGAAATAATATCATCATGTGTGTACATTTCAAAATGCTGAGCAACCTTGATTCTTAAGCACTAGTAGATAATGGCAGACAATTTATTTTGCAGAGGATAGGATTTCAGACTTCTCTGTATTTTGCTAACAGTAACTTCACAAAGTCTGGCCAGTTGTGGTTAAACGGGTATTTACACTTTGCTTCTTTTTTTTTCTTTGCCAGTCTTTCAACTCTCTTTGTTCAAAGACGGATATCATTGTTAGTGATGATTTATGATTGTGAGGAGTTTATAACTCCTGTGTGTTTTTTTAAACGATTTTCCTTTGGGATATAGAGACTTTCCTCGGGTGAACAGAAGTCAGTTTCAAAAATCTGATTTCAGAAATCATTTCTAGACCACAAAATAACTGCATGTGAATACTAGTATTCACACAATGACCACTTTTTATCATCCAAGAATTTAAAAATATGTATACTACATATATAACATTATGTGTGTGTGTATGTGTGTGTGTGTATATATATATATATATATATATATATATATAAAATTATCTGGTGTTTCTTCTACATATTCTATAAAGAAAATACACATTATTGTAATACCTGGCCTTCCGGCATATCCTGGGAGTCCTCGACTTCCAGGAAAGCCAATTGCTCCCCGATCACCTTTAAGACCCGGAGGACCTACATTATTAACGAAGAAAAAAAGAAGGTAATAATTCATTTTCATACAGACTTGAGAGTATAATGAAAACATCTAGTTTTATAAGTGAATATGAAATTAGAGAATCTTCAAATGAAGGAATAATATCTTTCCTAAAATTTAATGTTTGACATTGAAAAACAATAGAAGCGATAAATATAAACCTTAGTACATTCAGCACATTGTAGCTATTCAATAAATAACATATTGTTGGTAGAAATAAAAGCACATTAGGAAAAATAGATCTTGGAGTTTTAACCAAAAGACTTATGTAGTCAACCAGTAATCATCAAATGGCAGGATCTTGCTGTAGCTGAAATAATAACTTTAAAATGCATAAGCTGAAAATTGAATTCTTAAGATTTGCCTTAGAAAAAAATGCAACTCAAGCAATGTAAAGTATCAACGAGTGTTTTATAAAATAAATTGGTGTCTTGGCTCTGAAATATATTACTTTATCTATCATGGACCTGTTCTTACATATTTCATTGTAATCCCAGGGTAAATAAACATAAACATAAACACACACACACACACACACACACACACACACACATGCGATACACAGATTTACTTATGAGTATGTACTATATACTTACACAAATCCAGGGTTTCATATGCTTAAATGAAAACTGAAAATGGCTATTTTTTTTACCCAATATTACTATGGTGATCATAACAACTGTATATAAAAGAAAATGTTATATTCCAGTGAAATAAAATATTTTATCCTAGAGTTCAGTAGTTCTTGATAAACTATTGTAACAGTTTAGGCATCTTATTTTGTCATTATCAATTCAGAGAGAACTCGTTCACCCAGTCTCACTTGATCCCATGGCAGAGAATGCCATGTTGCCTGCTTTAGACAGGAGCATCTTGGGGCCATAAGAGCATCAGAGAAGCCCCTCCAATGCTGACTTCTCAAGTACCTCACAGTGATGCTCAGAACACAGCTGTTCAACTAAAAATCAAGGATGTTCAACTACAAATCAAGTACATTTTCAATGAATGAACAAATAACTCTGTAAATGAAGCATATGAGATACTTTCATAGAAATCAGGCAGTCATAGACCTCTGTTCTTGGAGATGGTTAAGCAGACTCTATATGGCCTATGGAGTTATGTGACTTGTTTGTTTAATGATGGTTCAAAATGTAGTCCCCAAAATGTAAGCACAGCTGTTGAACTTTATTCCATAAGATCAGATACCCTGAGGCTTTCAGGAGGCAATTAACTAATTTTCTACAATAATCTGTGGCAATGGGAAAGGGTCTGGCACCTGCTTCTAACTCATGGACAATATAAGTACAGTTACATGGAATCTCAGCCATGGGATGTTCAAAGAGACGTTAGACATCATCAAGTCAGAATCCATCATTTTAGAGACAGTTCCATGAGACCAGAGTGATCAAATCACTTACATAAAGCTGGTCTGATAATTATTCACATGTCCTAGGTGTCCTGCTCCATTCAGGCTCCTTCCTGCAAAGTAGCAGACTGGTTAAGGGCATGGACTCTGCACTCATGCCCATTGGGGTTCAAATACCAGCTTTGCCACTTACCAGTTGCTGATTGACCTCAAGCAAGTCATTTAACTTTACTGTGCATTGCACCTGTAAAATGGGTGTATTATTTGTTTCTGCATCATCAGGCTGATGTGATAGTTAAAAGAGCTCATACACGTAAAACACTTAGAAAAGTGCCTGGCATGTAATGACTACTTTGTAAATGTTAGCTTTTCTTGTTCTCCTCCCCCTCTTCCTCATCCTCCTCCTCAGTAATACAATCATTATTTTTACCAGCCTGTTGTAAAGGCTTCTAAATTTAGTTTTATTAAATGATACGTACACAGTTAGCAGTGACATTTTTTGATTCACTGGCACAATTTGTTACTTCCAGAAAAAACCCACTTTCAATACTCAGGTGTAGAGCGACAGCCTGCAGCCAGGCAACATTCCTTACTCAGGTGTATATTTAAGGATCCTGTCCTTGCTGAAGCTTTAGGGAGGGGCCTTCTTGGGGCCATAGCCTATGGGAAGGGGCGGGCCAGGGTAAAGATATACGTGGATATAAACATTAATAAAATATGGTTCCTCTCTTCCAATATCTATGGGTAAGATGAGCTTTATTTTCTCTTCTGGAAGCACGATTCCTATGGTGGAAAATTCAGACTACGTAAGGAAGTAAATAGTACTGGTTGATGATGAAAAGTTTGCAGCCAGAGAAGCCTTCAGTTCTCTCGAGGGCATCTCATGTAGGTAGCCCCACCCATGCCTACAGGTCAAACTACCTTGTTATTGATCACATTGGGCATAAACAGCTTCTTAGATGGCCCACACAAAGTTTCCTTTAGAAAAGAAAGTTGCTTCTCCTTCAAAACATTGTTGTCATGGGTAAAATCAGCCCCTTAAAAGAAACTCACATGAGATAAAAAATCCTTGATCATGACATTTGCCTCCCTTATATTACTACTTATCATCCTGGAAGCGCTGTGAATTCAGAGATTCTGTATCTGTTTACACATACTCTATAGGGTATTGTAGAACACCAGGCCTGGAGAAAGTGCTCAGCACATAGTTTTTGAGTGAAAAGTGATAGGTCATTCTCCCTAGCATGCTTTCAAGGAAATAGCCCTCTAAAATAAATTTGTTATTATTTGGGGAATAAAGCATATTTAAACATAATATCCACCCTAGTATATGAATAATAATTCTACTATATTTAATGTATTAGTTATTTGAGGCTACTAGGACAACCACTTAGGTTTTGCAGATATTCGCATCATGATTGTGAGTCTAGGTGAGTTTGACTTGGTCAAGCTGAGTTTAGTAGGCTCAAATGGATGTAGAGATGGGGAAGCAATAAACCTGCTCAGATTAGAAAGCAGAATTAGTATGATTGTCCATCATATACTCTTTGCTTCCTGATTTCGGCATCAAATATAAGGCAATTAGACAATCTGGTGGAGAAACGAACAGAATGCAGCAAGACATCCAGAAATAATTCATTAGGAAAGATGCCTGGTATTTTGAATACTTTTCTTGTAGTGCACCAAACAAAATGGTAACCTGATAACCTAGAAGAGTCATTGATTACCCCAGGAACTCGACCTGTCTTTTATGAGGAACTGGGTAATGCCTATTTGTGTAAATGAGCAGTACCAAAAGCAACAAATTATGACATCACTTTTTACCCTGTAAATTTAAACCATGACAAATCGTTAATTTACAATAAAAAAAAAACAAAATCAAAGATTCTTTGCAATGGTGTCTATTTATAACATTAACACAAGCTGAAATTTATAAATCCTTCTATTTCATACATTCACAGTTCAGAAACAGCTGCAGAAGATTCTCCCAAGATGAAGCACTGTATGGCAAGATGTAGCCCAGACTGAATTTTTATGGTTGAGTTATAAAGCTCTGACAATTGCAGCCTGTATGGAGGGGGTGATAGACCCTTGACAATGGTAGTTCTGGCAGCAGATTTAATACTGGTTATTTCCTCTGCTTATGACATTAATGCAGCATTGTTAATATCTGATTAGCATTAGTCAAGTAGAAAGACTTTCCTGAATAAAAATTCTTTCCTGGCAAGGCATTCAAAAGCACATCAATACTAATACCACCTGACTTGGCATATTATATATATGGGTAGGATTGCTATTTTATATATATAAAACATGTGTACCTGGATGTATATCATCTATCTTCACATATAATATGCCATATATATTTATATACATATATATACATATATGTGCTTAGGCAGGTATCAAGTTCATGCTTCTCATTTTCAAAAATTTTTCTGATGTGACCAGGGCTAGTCAATACACTGATCAGAAAGAAGAACCTTTTATATAATCAAAAGACAGAAAAATAAGATGAAGTACATGGTATTTAGACATGTTTTGGTAACACAAACCATTCTACTTATAATTAGACCTTGCAGTATACTTCCTACCATCAAACGGCATGCAGGATATTTGATTTCAAGCCAAGGCTAACATGACAATCATGTTATTATCTTTTTTATTTTTTCAAGCAAAGAAAGTTCATGTTCTCTCTTCTGTGTCTTCTTTCAAAATATTTCTTTCAAGATTACAACTTAGAGGAAAATAATTTGAAACAGTTTTGCTCTTAGTAAAGCACAGAGAGTGACTGTCAGCAAGGTAAGTGTCATCCATATTTTAGCCAATATTTACATTCAGATTTCATTAGTTTAAACAGATATATTCCAAATACTATATAAGAAATATAGTCCAATTTGCTTGTGATTCATAACTCACTACTAGTGTGAGTTTTTATGTCTTAAAAATGAGATAGCTTGCAAATGTGAAGATGATTTATTCAACGCAAAGATAATTGTTGTACTCCCCTTCACATATGATCTACGGTTAGGTCTGCCTTATACTGTTTGCTGTCTATTATATACATGTCACTATCTAGACTTACAAACAATTCCATTTGGTTACTCTGGTTAAAGCATTTATTTTCTTCAACAGTCATGAGTAATGCTTATCATTCAGTGTATTATGTGATTAGGCTACTAGAACATTTACTAATCCCCCAAAACACACACACATATACACACATGTGCGTGCATACACACACACACACACATACACATCCTCTGCAGGATATAAATAAAATAGCAATCCTCCCCTACACATGTACCTGGATGTATATCATCTATCTTCACAGTATATGATTAAATAGCTAAAATTACCATACCTATTGGACCTGGAAATCCTCGTGGACCACTTTCTCCAGTGGGACCTCGATCTCCTTTTTCACCCGGGGGTCCAGGAGGACCTTTAAAAAAATTACAGTTACTGATCATAGTTGTAAAGCATAGGAAAAATGGGTTAGTCATCTGTCAAGGTACTTATATAAGGAAATCCAAAGTCTTCTATTTGTTGTGCAATAATATAGAATGTATAATACTGAACTTCATGAATGGAGGAGTATTCTGCTATTCAGGAATATAATGCCCTATACTAATGAGGATGACATTGCCTCAAAGTAAACAACCTAACAGTATATTAAATGTGAGTGTGCCTAACACTTTTCTATGTTCTGAGAACCTGGGGGCAGAGAAAAGACAGCAGGCTGGCACAAAGTCACATTAGTGTTGTACGCATCCTAGGCAGTTAGACATAGAGTTAGATATAATACAGAATTAGCTACTATACGGAAAATCTATAAGTAAGAACTTAAAAGACATTTGTGATACCCTCAAGGGAAAGGAAAATTCACACATGGTAGACAACCAGAAAGCACTTTGTTGGAACTGACCATAAACTCAGATATTTGTCAGTGAACTGTAGATCGGCGTGAATGGTGATGGTTGAAGTCTTCATTGAGAAAGTAGGATATGAGGGGTACTTTCAAGAATGAAGGGAAGGGGAAGGAAGACAATTCCTAGGGATTGAGAAAGGCATGAGGAAAGGCAGGAAGGTGAAAATGAGTAGAGGAATTCTTTTTTCAAGTAAAATATTAAGTAGAATTTCTAGGTTGCTATAAATACTGTAAACAAAATGGAGACATTGCAAGGAAAACTTTGGTCTCATCATTTTTTTTCAGGTGGCTCTCCTGAGAGCTGTAACTAAACAACCCTGATTTAGCCATTTGTATTTTCTGTGTCCAGCAAAACAGATACCTGCTCATCATGCCTTTAAAATGATTATACCTAGCATGTCTTTAGAACTCAAAGGTAATCCTACCTAAACACCATGTTCCATATGGAGTACAGAGGACAAATAATCTCTTCTTTATCTAAAGAAGAGCACTTAGTTTCCTTTTCAACACCAGAAGAAAGAAACAGAAAGAAACATTATTCCATAGATTCACCACAGAATAAGGAAATAGTGATATTTTAAAGGAAGCATTTTCAATTGCTAGTTTGGACACATACATAGTCCAAGGAAAACAAATATATACAGCATCCCTGGTTAGAATGCACTTGTTTACAAATTTTAATCAGGTGGGAGACATAATACCCGAAGAAATCTAAGAGGGGGAACCACATAAATAAATAAAGATTATCTCATGAATAAGTATATTTTGTACATTTTGTTGTTGCTTATTTTGACATCCTTGACTCTACTTCTGTCTATTCCTCTGGTATGTCCCATTTTCAAGGTACAATTTGGGTTTTAGAGGCCCAAGATATCATTATTACTCTTCTCAATAGAATGTCCCTTTCTCCTCATATGCAACATTGGACACACATTTAATTGTATTTTTATTATAAAAGCAACTCTACTTATAGGAAACATAAAAGCCTAGAAAAAGCGTGAGGAAGAATATAATTCGTAGTTGTGTTATTTTAACTAAAGATCTTTACCATTTCTTTCCTAAGTGTGTACGTGTATTTTTTTTTTCCACATAATCGTCATGCAAACAACATGTTACAGGGCTTTTAGAAATTAACTGGTGTATTATATTCTAAGGTATAGCTTAATTGCTGCGAGACATATATTTAAATGCTGCACAAGAAATGTAAGATTTCTGTATCAAAGGGAATCTCTATGTGCCCCCTATTCCCTGCAGAAGAATGTAGTACTTCCCAAGAAAATGGAGTTATGGTAACTTCCATAACCATGAACGCAGCTGCATCCATTCAACACTACATAGCAATGAATCCCAGGGGAGGGGGGCAAGCAGGACAGACACTCAATTTATGCCTGAATTTTGTTGAGCTAATTGAAGGGAAGCACAGGGATAGTAATCAAGGATGGTATTTTGAAAAAAGTGCGCAAGCAAAGATTTCAGTTTAGTAACTCAGGATCCAAAGCAAGACGCAGACATTCCAGGAAAAACTAGAACATGAAACAAGAAGAAACAAGGGACACAGAGAATAGATCTAGACTCTTAGCCTCTGAGATGGACTTCTCACCATTTCTTTGGTAAGTAAGAGATGGAAGGAACTCTCCTAATTACTAACTATCCTTTCAATTATATTACATGTAATTATGGGAACTGTATACTTAATTTTGGAGTATTAGTTCAATCACAGCGAATAGATCAGTATTATTTTACAAAATTTGGAGTTAAAGATCCCTCTCTGTATTTTTATATAAAAATACTGATACCTGGTATTCGAATCCTACAATAAGAAAAACAGGTAAAGATTTTTGTTAGAGTTCTAACTAGGCATGTTGAATGTACCTTTTTATTGTCATTCTATTCTTCATGTAACATTAATCTCACATTATGTTTCATTTTTGTACATTGTTATAGATCTTTTACTGTTTCTAACAAAATGTTGGAAGGATCTCAATAAATGTTTTAAGTGTCTTTTAGATTCATTGGGGGAATAAAATAACAAATTATATACCACTTTACTCTTAGTTTCTGATGCAGAACTTTTAAGAACACTATCCACTACCTTGCCACCTTCCAAAACTAGCCTCCTCTCCATTCCCATTGTAGCTCACGTCTTCACCATCACACAGCTGGACTATTGCTAGAGATTTTTAATCTAGTCTGAATGTGTTTTATCTGTTTCACCTCCTAGTTCCCTCAGTGTTGGCTTTCTTCTTCTTTTTGATAAGAATCCGTTTTGCAATGTCTCTATCAAATTAAGGAAATGCAGTAACCTATTCTGTCATATTATGGAAAAAAGAATAAAGACTTAGAGTCTCTTGTAGTCACCTTTTGTTCGTAGTTTCCATTTAGTCTTTTCAAAATTTTGTTCCATACTGACATAATAACTGCCTCGTTGCATCAATAAATGGACAAAATGCTACCTGTCAGCTCCCTTGCTGATACATGTCAAAAAAAATGGGTTAATATTGGCCAAAATATATGATTTATTCTAGTTCAAGAAGCCATAGAATTTACATTATTTTTCATCTTTAATATTTCCAATTACAGTTACAGGAATAATTCATAAATACTATCACAATAATCTGCCATGAAGAATTACCTTTATACAACACATGCACAAAATCTACTATGTAGCTTCCTCCATGATTACTTCTTAAAAAGGAAAAGTAATATTTCTATATAACCACAAAAAAGTACTGATATATAATATTTGATAATCATCAATATCATAGAACAAAATTACACAATTTACTAGAAAAACAAACCCAGGTGTATCATATCATTTAAAATCCTCAGACGATAACATAGCACTAATAATATCTGACTAAGTTTCCAGAGCGATGCTTCTCTAGTTTTTATTCATTATGAGCATTAATCTTCTACTCCGTTTTCAATCTTGTCTCATATTCAGATCATCATAAAAATCTGCCACATCTTCTAGTCTATTGCTGCCTAAACCTGCTTCTTTTTTTTTTCTCTAGTTTTCATGCTCATTGATTTAGATATGTTTAATCTGGAAGACACTTTAAACATTGTTTAACTAAACATATTTATAGAGGGTCAGAGAGTGAGTTGCTCAAGGTCTTAAAGCTAGTTGGGTTAAATCAGAACTAGAAGAATTTCATTTCTTTCCTGATCCTATGCTACCATGTTCTAAATTTAATTGACTTCATTTTCCACATCTGTTCTTCCATTATTCCTCAGCTGAATTTTTCCTTTACATAGTGGTTAGACAAACTCACAATTCAGTTTTTTTCCTTTGGTTAATTTTTTTTTTTTTTTTTTTTTCAGAGATAGGGTCTTGCTACTTTGCCTAGGCTGGTCTTGAACTTCTGGGCTCAAAAGGCCCTCATGTCTCACTCTCCTGAAGTGCTGGAATTATATTGTCTCAGCCTCCCAAAGCGCTGGGATTACAGGCATGAGCCACCACTTCTAGCCTACAGTCCAGCTGTTACAATCTCAGTAATTAATTATACAAAACTCCAAATTCAAATGCCCTCAGTTGCTTTTTCATTTTCTCTACTATAAAAATCAATATTTCTTTTTTGGTGCTTTCATATCCTAGGAAGCCAATATATCTAAAATGTTTCCAAATAAACAAAATGTTAGCTATTCTCACCACAGAGTCATATTATATTTTATTTCTCTTAAATACCTTTCTCTAGAGTTCATCTTTGCTTCTTTAAATCACGTTATCCCCAACTCTCCACCAAACTCTACTTCACCATTTCCACAATGAAATTTTATGTAGTTCTTTAAGGCTCTAATTATTATAACTATTTGAGAAATGTATTAAAAAATCTTTGTCTCTTTTAACTGTATAATTATTTAGTGATTATTAATATAAGGGAAAAGAGAACACAAAGTAATTACACTAACTCTGCAATCAACACATGATAAAGGATAAAGCACTCATTAATTTCTAAAATATGGTTCTTAAGTTATAATTTAATTAATAGATATTTTATGGCTAGGTGCTATAAGAGATATAAAGAACAGTTTCTAATGGAAGTAGCTTGTGTCCAGGAAGAGTGAACACTGTTCTCGAAGAGAATATGAGATACTTTTATACATAACTATCACATTAAGTATTCTCTTGTGAGAGAATACTTAATGTTCCATATTAAGACAGAAATAAGTATCAGCTGGGCCTTACTATTGGTAGAACCAGCAAAGGCTTCATGCAAGAGGTGGCATCTTAGATGGACTTTGAATGATAAACAAGATATCTTCGAATACAAATCAAAGAGAAAATATTTCAAATAAAGGAAAAGACATGAGGCAGGATGCACAAAGTACTGGGTACATTAGAATCACAGTCAAATTAGTTGAAATATTTGATATACAAAAAAGACAAGCGAGGGAATGAAGCATTCAAGACTAGTTAAGAGACACACTGAAAAAGACCTTGAGTGCTACAGGCAAAACTGTATGTCTAATGACGGGGCAACAGAGAGTCTTTATGCAATCTAAGACTTCCTTTAGGAAGGCTGTATTCTACAAGGGTGCAAAAAGGATTACAGTCTGGGCAGGAAACAATTGCAACTCTGGCAAAGAGTCATAAGAATAATTTATACGAGGATATAAAGAAATGACAAAGGAACAGAGAATACAGAATGTTGAGAACTAATGGTGGTCTTGGGAGATATAAAATAATTAAAATTGATAGCTTGGAAACCAGGAAGAATGACACTGCTATTATAGAGTGTAACTTGCTAAGACAAAAGTCTTAGTTTCACTTATTCACTCAACACATATGTAATTGCTCACCCACTATTTTCCAGGCACTCTAACAGGCATTGGGATTGCAGAGGTAGACAAGGAGGAGAAGACTTAACCTCACAGAGCTCACATTCTGCTGGAGAAGATACAAGCTAAACAAGTAAGCAAATGTAGAGATGACATGATTTCATATAGTGGTAAAAACTATGAGGAAATTAAAGCAAATCATGGTAGAGAGAGATGGGGGAGTTTAGAATAAGAATGGTGGAAAGTGGAGGAGGTAACTTCAAGTGGAGCCAAGAAGGAGTAGAGACGTAGAGAAGAACCTTTCAAGAGAAAGAGAAAATGTCTAGTGTTCATTATGGACAGCATGAAATGAAACAAGCACTTTTTCTATATTAACTTTTACTTGTTCGTGGCACTTCATTCTTCCACATTTCCAAGCTAGGCAGAAGGATGACAGAGGGAAGATTGAGAAAATTAGGGCAGAGAAGTAGACAGGTGACAGACCAAGTAGAAGTTTAGATTTTATCCCAAGACTAATGAGAAGACATTGGAGGATTTAAGCAAGAGAGAGAAAAGACACATCTAGTGTAAAGAGAGAAACCACACACATCCAGTAATTTGTGTGGGTTTTCTTAAATAGCATTTTTTTTTTTTTTTTTTTGCTATTTAGAATGGACTAAGAGCAGAGCCAGGGACACCAACTGAGAAGCGGATGTAATACACCAGACTGGGATATGGTTGCTTGAATTAGAGTAGTAGTAGAGAGTAAGAAGAAGTTTGGTTTGAGATATTGTATGAAATAAGAATTAGTAGGACTTACAAATGGATTACATAGAGAATGAGAGCAAGGAAGTCAAAGACAGCTTCCAAGATCAGGCAGTGAGCAGGTAGTTGGAAAATGACAAAACCAACAAAAAGACTGAAAACGCAACAGATTTGGGGAGGCAGATGCGGGTGGCTAGTTAAGAAGCAAGGATTTGGTTTTGAATTTGTAAAGCTTCGGACATTTATTTGAAATCCAAAGTGGAGGTATCTAACTGTTAGAGAAAAATCTGATTAATTCAAATTTTTCTTTATCATCTGTTTTATTGTGATAAATACTATATATGATATGTGTTCTGTATAAGCAAGCTATAAAGTACAACAATAATGAGAATACCCTTGCAACATCACAATCCAAGAAATCGGTATCTACCTAGATGTTCCCCTATCTCATTCATCTATTTCCTTTTCATAGATAAATATTACCCTGAATTTTGTGTTTATCATTTTCTTAAATTTTAAAACAATGATTATATTACATATTTATGTGTCTGTAAATTTACATAATTTTACTAACTATGAGCATTAGAAGTAAAAATTGTCTATATATAGTTTTCTGGGACTTGTTTTTATTCTTTTTTTCATTGTCATCACTTGATTATTAGGCTTCTTAATTTTCTCAAACTAGTGTATTTGAAATGAAGTCACATGAAGTTCTTAGTTCTATTTTTCTAGTTGCTAATGATATAAAATGAGACAAAATATTAAAATCATGAAATAGAGCTTAACAGACATGGAAGCTGGAATGAGAACATCCAATATGAATTTCATGTAAGTTACAGAGGAAAGGAGAGAAAGAATCGTGAAGAAGCAATAGTCAAAGTGAATGAAGCTGGTTATATTCCCAAACTGATAGACATAAATCCACTAATATAAGAAGTACAGCAAATGTTAGATGGATAAATTATCAATACAAAACCACAGATAAGTAAAACTGCAGATATGAAAGACAAAGAGAATGACAAACAGATTGGTGGCAGTCATTTTAAGAGCCACAAGAAAAGCTTGAAGCCAGGGGACCAATTTTTTCAGCACACTGATAGAAGGAATCAAAATAACTGTCAACCTAATAAGTGTGTATATAGTAAAACAATTTCAAAGATCAAGTCAAAATAGAGAAAATGAAATCAGAAGGTTTCTTGATCAATTTACTTTCACTAAATGAACTTCCAAAAGATATACTTCAGGCAGAAGGAAAATAATCCCAGAAGAAATGCCCGAGGTGCTTTTAGAACGGAGAACAATTGGTAAATTCATGCGCAAATTTAAATAAATATTTGTTGTGGGTGAGCGATGACTATCTGAGCCAGTGGTGCAGGGTTAAATAATTTACCAAGATGGTTGTAGATAAAGAAAGGCAGATTTATTAACAAAAGCAGGAAAATACGTTGCAAGGAGGCAATGAGCAGGCCAGCAGAAGAGAAACTGATTGCCAGGAAACAAAGGTTTGCTGAAGATTTTATAGAATAGTGTTTATAACGTATGCTGAAGAGAGCTTGTGCAGTACTGATAAACCAAGGTTAGAGTGGGTTAACTTGCAGGTATCTGGTGACAAGTTTCTTGCAGGAGGGACCTACATGTTCTGGACCAAGAAGAAAGGCAGATTTATAGCTTATCTTCTTTCTCTTTGCTTTCCCTGGTCCTACCAGCCTGACTACTTTTCCCTAATTAAGGCTCCACAAGATTGTCTGTATAAAAAAAGAAAAATAATATTGACTAAGTTCTCGATTAAAAAAAAATAAAGTAGAATAAACTGTACTAAAATATTAGCAGGAAACTAGGGAAGAGGATCATCAAAGCACTTTCAGTTCCTTGTGTATTTTAGGATGAATGTTAAGATACTGATCAACTTTAGACTTCAAGATAAATGTTAAGGTCAACAATCAATAAGAAATAGAAATATACTACAAAGTTTCTGAAACCTGTTTGGTAATTTTGGTAGAGAGAAAAATTCAGCAAGAGAAAAATCTTAATCAATCCAAAAGTGGCAATACAGCAAAGCAAAAGAAACATAAAATAAACTGGAAAAAACCAGAGCACATGATAAGATAGTGGAAATAAATACAGTGCAAAGAGATGGTCAGATTGTATATTTTTTTAAAAGAAAAGGTAAGTATTCATTACAAGAGACTAACCTAAAACAAAGAATACCAACAGGCAAAAGGTTGCAATCAAAATATAGAAAAATACATGCAAATGGTTGAAATCAAAATATAGAAAATCAAAATCAAAATATAGAAATCAAAAAATCAAAATATAGAAAAAATCTATAATGTAAAGCTAAAACTAAAATATCTAAAATGTAAAGCTAAAACTGAAAGCCTATATATATAAAGAAAGCATATATACATATATTTTATTTATATATATAAGTAAGATCCAATTCACCTTATTTCACTAACAGGCACTGCAGAAGAAATGGACAAATCCATCATTATTTTGGAGAGTTCAAAAGATCCTTTTAATTAATAATACAGTCAAGTAAGAAATAAAAAAGACTGGAAGTTTTGGAAAAGCAATATTAACAAGCTTGGTTTGTGAACATGTGAAGAAACTTGTAATTACAAAAAACTTGTATTCAGTACTTATGAGGTAGTTTTTAACAATGAGAAAATCATTAGACCTTAAGATATATTTTGCTTTTCCCTTTCTATTTAAGTGATACCAGGCTACTGGTTATCGTACCCTGTCTTTATCTGATTTTCATATTCTTTCCTTTGGGTATTTGCAGTAAATGTAAGCTCAGAAACTATTTATTTCAAACCATAGGATTTCAAATATCAAATCTCTGCATGTATCAGTATATTTTAATATATATATCATTTTCTGGAGAAATGACAAGACATTTTACCTTGAATTAAAGTGATATTTCTCAAGGTCTGAGAATGTTCCCAATCTTTCAGTCTGAGATCATTAGTGATGTTATTCAGTACTTTCACTTCTCCTTTTATTTCCTGTTCCAAATGCACTTGTTCTTCTTTCATAGCCATAATTTCTGCTGATACATTGTAAACACGCTCCTCTAATTTACTGATTTCCTGTAAAACATAAGTGAGCATTCACAGCCTTTGTTACATACATAATTATCAAATATGAAAGTTCAAGAAACCCTCGGAGTTCAGGTTTTTAAAAACATATTATGGGAGTTTTATGGAATAAGAATATAGAAATTAGAAAACTGTTTTGAAAGTAGTAATTCTTTAATTGTGAAACATTTCCTCTTTTGACTGAATGGCTGAATGTTTACAATCACAACCCCCTTCAAAAATCAATTTAATGTATCTATGATATGTTTCTATTCCTATATATATAGATGTCAAAATTCTAACAATAAAATTAAATAAACACCATAAGGTCTTAATTTATCTGAAGTAAAATGTCTTCGTACTGTACTTACAGTGGCAACATAGTCAAATTTCGTGAATTTGATAGATTTATATTGGAAATTGTTTTATAGTAATAAGTGAAGTTTAATGTCATAATCCTCAGTGGTGATGATCATTGACAATAGATTTTCATACTCAATAAAACCTCGAACTCGCATATTAACAGTGCTTTACTTTCAGTTTGCATTGCCTCTGTATTTGAGGCATTAGTATTTTGTGTTTTCAAATACACGTATATTTTGTGTATATTTATACATACACATTCATATACTTAAGAGTGTGAAAAAGACAGAGGATCTACCTATATCCTGGAATATGCTTTTATATTTTACTCAATAATATATTAAGGATATTTATCTATTAAAATACTTTAGAGACTGATATTTTCAGTAATTTAGTGGAATTGAATCTATTTCTCAAAATTTATTTAGGATTCCTATTCATAGTGTTTTGAGCTGTGCACTTTTCTACAACTAAACAATGCTGCCATGAACATCATTTTAAATATATTTGTATATTGATATAAGTACTTCTATAGAACATCTTCCTGAAGTGGATTTGACCAAAGGGACTAAACATTAAACAGCATTTTTGTTCAACCATTGCCGTACTACTCTCCAAATATATGCTACCATTTTTCTTCCTCTTACTGCGTATCAGCGTCCACTTTTTGCAGCTGAATACTGGGTACCATTAATATATTTAAGTTTGCATAGTAAGAGTAGGTACATAGCAAATCATTATTACTTAACTTGTTTTTCAAATTATAGTGAGGTTAAAGTATCCAGTCATTAAATTTCTGACGATTAATGTTTATTAATTTTTCTTTTAGATCATTTGCTTGGTTTTCTCTTTCAGCATTGGGCTTTTTATTTTTGATGAACCAAATGTTCTCATCTATTCTGGTAATAATTTTTGTCTCTCTGTTCTACTTTTATCCCATTTTCTGTCTTCATTGTATGCTTTATTATTGTATTAAGTACTCCTATGTTCTAAAGTTGATAGATACTCATTTCCGATTTGCACATGGGGAAATAAGCCAGTGGTATGTTTTTCTTTAATCCAGAAGTAAAAAGAATATTACACTCTCTTGAGCTGGACTAGACTAGACAAGCTTAGGTGAGAGGATCAAGATGGTCAGAGTGTAGGACCTTCGAAAATAAATGAATGTGCGTCTAGATTTGCCTCTTCAATGACACTATACTGAAGCAGAGAGACTTACCAGCTTTTATTGCTCTAACTGTGCCTTCTCCCAAACAAAACCTTATTCTAGATTAGAATTTCTCTATCTTGCACCTCCTCCTCCCCTGACCATTTAATATTTTCTGTACAATACCATCATTACAATAAAGGTGAAATAGTGAGCATGGATGTTTGTAGGGCACACCGCCATGATAAATACACTTGACTTAATTTAGGGGGCTAAAAATTGCTGCAAGTATGTCGGGTAGTTCCAGACATTCAGCATAAAGTGTTAAGTGACTAGACAGTGATTTTGCTTCCTAGAAACGAGGAATCATCCAGGTTTTTCATCATACCTAAAAGCTGAGGCTACTTTTTCTTTCTTTTTTTTTTTTTTTTTTTTTTTTGAGACGGAGTCTCGCACTGTCACCCAGGCTGGAGTGCAATGGCATGATCTCGGCTCCCTGCAACCTCCACCTCCTGGGTTCAAGTGGTTCTCCCGAGTAGCTGGGATTACAGGTGCACACTACCACACCTGACTAATTTTTTTTTTTTTAATTTTGTAGAGATGGGGTTTCACTATGTTGGCCAGACTGGTCTCGAACTCCTGACCTCGTGGTCCACCCACCTCGGCCTCCCAAAGTGCTGGGATTACAGGTGTGAGGCACTGCGCCTGGCAGCTGAGGCTGCCTTATTATTCCCTTCTTTGAAAACTGCACATGGTGTTTACATTTGTCAAATTTCAGTGGAAATTATTTTCACTGGGAGGAGGAAAAGTGTATTTAATTTCAAAAAATCCTATATAGCATCCACACACTCCCTCCACATGCTACCACCAGTGACCCTCCTAGAAACAGGCATTTAATTTTGTAGTCGTACAGTCCTTTTCACCTCTATGGATGATGATAAATGCCACCCCTGTCTTTCATTTGGTGCCAATGTTCTTCCTCTTTCTTTCAAATTAATTTTTGGTGTGTCCTTGATAAGTGTTATGCTGGTGTCACTTATAACCTATTTCCTCAAACGCCATTTACAAATTCAGGCATTCATTTAATTTATTTATTCCTACATTGAGCTAAAGATTCAAAGGTCAATAAAATTATTCAAGCAATGGGGATGAGCGTCCCAATGTTGTTTTTCAGTGTACACAGGAGTACACACACACACACACACACACACACACACACATGCACGCACTGGCACTGACCTAGTTTCTAAGTCTCTGTGAGTGACTACTGTTTTTAAAGATGTATATAGCTTTCAAACTTTCACCATTCCCTTGCATTTCCTTTTCTAATGCTGGAATTCCCTCCAAAATTTAAGTGTAATCTATCGAAACTCAAACAGCTCACTGATCACCAGATTTTGATCGTTTCCATTAATTATCACTTCAAACAGGTTCAAAATTTCTACCACCTTCCAGATAGTTTCCAATTTGCTTTCAATTCCTCATGTTTGGGTTCAAAAGCATTCGATGGTCAGCCAGGCGCAGTGGTTCATGCCTGTAATCCCAGCACCTTGGGAGGCCAAGACGGGCAGATCACCTGAGGCCAGGAGTTCGAGATCAGCCTGGCCAACATGGTGCAAACTCTGTCTCCACTAAAAATACAGAAATTAGCCGGGTGAGGTAGCACGTACCTTTGATCCCAGCTACATGGGAGGCTAAGGCACGAGAATCACTTGAACCTGGGAGGCAGAGGTTGCAGTGAGCCATGATCTCACCATTGCACTCCAGCCTGGGCAACAGAGTGAGACTCCATCTCAAAAACAAACAAACAAACAAACAAACAAAAACATTCCATGGTCTCTGCAGGATTTAATGCACTGCCAGAATCAAATGTATCCTTCTTCTTCCATCTCATCCACCTTCCCTCTGTCCTTACCTCATCTCAGTGCTCTTCTGACCCTATTTCTACATAAATAGTATTTCTTCTCCATTCTTCTTTCCCCTCAACTTAATCAATGTCTATCCTGATAACTAACATTTTCGCTTTCTGTCTTTCTTATATTATTCAAAACTATGGACAGTTTCTTCTTTGTACACTTTCTCTAATCTTTCTATAGCCCAAGGCTTTGATATCCCAATACCCTTTGATATGCTTACTTATTAACAATGTAGGAAACACTGATAGATTTTAGACGTGACATGGAATAGAAACGGAATATCAACATGTTGGGATGAGGTTCACCAACAGACTCCCCATACAAAAACTGTAATACCATTGTCTTCTGACACCTTAAGGTGAGGACCATGTATAAGTTCAAAAGTTCTGAGTGAAACTTACAAATAAAAAAAAAAATCTAAGCATATCAAATATGTCTGTTGCAAAATTCACACATACAGAGTGTTCACTTCTCAAGATCTGCTAAGATAACCTAAAAATTATGATTGGTTTAGGCAGTCTAAAAAGACATTTTAACAGTATTTATAAAATATGTAAAGGGAGTCTATATTCAATGGGAAAAATTTCCCCTTTTTCTAAGAGTTTAGAGAAGGCGAATCCATTTTAAATCCCTTAACATTCGTTTAAAATCTGGATAAGTTAGCCATAGAAATCAGGGTAAACAGGATGATGAAACAGGGTTTGCAACTTTTGCTTTCCTGTACTGCCTAAGGAGACGAGACTTGGATGGATTCAGTTCCAGCAAGTGACCTTGCAGTCCACAAACTCTTACCTCTTGTTGTTTGAAGGTATTCTCTTGGATTTTGCCATTCAGATTTTCTATGTTGAGCTGCAAATCAAGCAATGTGGTATTCAAACTTATTAAGGACTTGGAGATTTCATCTATTGCATTCCCATGTCCCTGGACTGAGGAAAACAAGGTACTTAGCTGCAGAAGAATGTCATTAAATCTTTGATCAGTTGTCATGCTGAAATTTTGGAAATGCTCTGTGTCCATGAGGTTGGCTTCCATGTCTAAAATATGCTGGATTCTCTTCTCCATGTTGCTCATGTGTTCCATAAAGACTTCTTGAAATCTCATTTCCTCTTCGCTGTCATTTCCTTTTCCCGTGAGACTTTGAGTTATATCATTTGCATTAGTTGAACTAACTGAGCAATTCTTCGTTTCCCACTTCAGGAGTTGAGCTGTATATTTAAGTAAAAATAAACCAGTCATGGCCTGATCCTTGAATGCATACAGGATCCCATCCCATATCATTCCATTCCGTTCATTTTATTCCATTCCATTCCAACATTTTGAATGCTAGGCTAAATCGAGTATTTTTTTTTAATCTACAACGTGTGAACTACGCTACGTATATTGCTGAGAAGCATACATTCTCCCTTTCCTATTTTACGTTAAGATGATTCCAGGATTATATCATGCTTTCTGAATTGCTGCTTATATGAATCTTCTTGGCCATTGATTTTGGCCTTGCCAATTAAAAAAAAATTCTATAGATTATGAAAGGCTATGTGTCTACAGAACTGCTGTTAGAATAAAGTGGACTAATGCTTAATACAGTTTCTGAAGTAAGCATGTTGAATATGTTAACAATGGCAGTGATAATCATGATGATGACAAAAGCAATAAGTGGTGAAATAGTGGTGTCATGCATAATATGGATAAATTGTTGGTTTATCTTCTTCATTCTTTCACTTGAGCTGCCAGAAAAGCGTCATTTTCAGTTAATACAGACCTAATTCACAGTTGGTGGAGCAGGAAATTGGGCAAATACATTTTTTCACTTTATAAAGGTACGATTCTCATAAGACTCCTTTTTAACTATTATAAAATATATATTCACAGCAGAAAATTTAGAAAATATACATAATATGGAAAAACAATTTACCATGAATCTCACCATCCTAGCTTAAACTCTAGGATTTTGGTGTACGTGTCTCAACCCTTATCATATTATTATCTTAAAATATGACATTTTTAAACAATCTGGAAACAACTTTTTAATGTAATGCTCTATCATAAGTACTTTTTTATATTATTTAATATTATTCTACAAAAATAATTTTAAAAACTCCATTGTAGTATATGTATGGATCTGCCAGATTTATTTAAAAAATAGCTGCATTTAGTTTGCCTCTGTTTTCAGTAATATAGCCAATGTTTTGATGAACAATCTTGTGATTAATTATTTCCCAAATTAAAAAAAAATTATATTCTAAAATAGTATTTTAGGAACATACTGAGCTGCTGATAGATATCCCCAAATGGGCATATGTTCTCTAAACAATCTAATTATCATTCTGAAATAATCTAAAGCAATATGTTTTCTAGTTTCAAAAAAATAAAAGGCTTAAACATTAACTTTTTATGCAAAAATAGGCCGGGTGCGTTGGCTCATGCCTGTAATCCCAGCACTTTGGGAGGCGCAGGGAGGTGGATCCCCAGGTCAGGAGATCAAGACCATCCTGGCCAACATGATGAAACCCCGTCTCTGCTAAAAATACAAAAATTAGCCAGGCGTGGTGGCGGGCGCCTGCAGGCCCATCTACTCAGGAGGCTGAGGCAGGAGAATCACTTGAACCTGGGAGGCAGAGGTTGCAGTGAGCCGAGATCACGCCACTGCACTCCAGCCTGGGCAACAGAGTGAGATTCCATCTCAAAAAAAAAAAAACAAAACATGAATAATTATAGAGAATGAGGAAAATGTTAAACACAATCTTATCACTATTCAGTCATGGCTGAGGTTTTCTGTTTTCCTATATCTCTCTATATGTATCTATTTATACCTTTTATCTACATGTATGTTAGTCATATTCATATTAGATTGGTTGTATAAGATTTTCCGCATTTGACAATTATGGAACAATAAAAAGAATAATTTCATATTGCTCAAAAATATATGCAGCTCCACCTGAGTCTATCAATTTTCTAATAAAAGTGATATGGTGATAGTACCATTTTTATAGATTTTTGAGAATTAAACAACACATGAAAAACATTTAGTTCTACCCCTAACTCAAGGATTTTGTTCAATAACTAACAGCTTGGTGTTTACATAGGATCTAGTTCCCTGATTCTAGAATCTTCCTACACTCCTCCATTACCAACTAGGCTACTCTGAACAAGTTACTTATCGCTCTCCTTGCTTTGGTTTTCTCAATTTGTAAAAGTAACAATTACCTCAACAGTGGTGCTGAACACTAATTAAATAGGCATATCTATTCCTCTAAAGTGCCTTGTACATGAGAGACATTATCTCAGTTACAGAGTCCACCGTATTTACTACCTTTACTTAAAGAGGCTGTGTGTGGATCACCTGAGGTCAGGAGTTCGAGACCAGCCTGGCAAACATGGTGAAACCCCGTCTCTACTAAGAATACAAAAATTAGCCAGGCGTGGTGGTGGGTGCCTGCAGTCCCAGCTGCTCGGGAGGCTGAGGCAGGAGAATTGCTTGAGCCCGGGAGGCGGAGGTTGCAGTGTGCCGAGATTGTGCCACTGCACTGCACTCCAGCCTGGCTGACAGAGCAAGACTCAGTCTCAAAAAAAAAAAAAAAAAAAAAAGAAGCTGTTTGATAAGCATTACTACTGTAGCTATTATTACATTAAGAGTGTCATCCTAAATATGCAGTTAAATTCTAATTTCAAAAAATACATGATACCATATTTTTCCTTGTTTTATTAATTTAATATTAGCTTATGTGAAATAACAAAATATGACAATATTTTGATGTGATCTACAATAGAGTTTGTATTGAGTATGTTACTCTACATGTCTTAACGTATCAATACCTTGGAAATAAAAGTATATTTCTTAACTGTATCTCATCACATTTATTAAATTCATTGTGGGGACCAAGTTTTGGGTTGACAGCCTCATCCATGCATTCATTAATTCTATGATTTAATTCTTATATACTATGTGGAAAGTATTGCTTGAGTTACTCTGGGAATAAAAGAACAATTGGGAATGGAATTTGACTGTAACAATGAGGAGCCCAAATAAACAATTTTATCAAAATTACTTCAAAATTTTCCTCTAACGTTGTCCTTTTTTGATTATTATTTCTTTTGAAGTAGCAGTTAAGAATTTAGATTCTAGAATAGAACTGCCTGGGTTAGCAATTCTGGCTCTGCCCTTTATAAACTATGGCGTTGGACAAGTTACTTAATCTGTTATTGCCTCTATTTCACCACCTGTATAAATGGGGTACTAATAGTCAGTGTCCAAATAATTAAATGAACTATATGTAAAATACTTAGACCACTTCCTGGCATGTAATAAGCACTTGAAAAGTTTCAGGTTTTTGCTATGATTAATATTTGGATTCAAGATGTGTGATTCAGGTACCTATATGCCCAATATTGATTAACTATGGGGAAGTAGCATTGTGTGATAAAAATCTTTTTCTGGAGTTGGATGTTCATATGAACACAGTCATCTCTCTGCTTTATTTTACTATGCACATTGCTCTGATTGCTCAACCATATACTTTTACTTTCACTGGAAATAAGATTTATTTTGTATCAGTAAAGCTAATATTTTTCACAATATGGAAAGAGAAGCCCCAATGTGACTAAGGTCATATGACCAACTATTTTTAATTTGACAACAAGTTAAACATGAGGTGACAGTAAATGCTACATTTTGTTAATAGATCTAAAAACACAAATTGCCTGTTTCATCGAACCCTGAGTGAAAACTAATTTTTCTATAAAATGTTAACTTTTTATCATATATCTAGGTAAAGAATGCCAGGATTTATATTTTCAAAAGTTCACTTATTTTTATTGGAGAGATGGCATTTTGTGACTTTTCTGTTTCACATATGAAAGGAGACAGAATTTTATGGTCTGTGCAACAACCTACGGACAGGGTTATATTTGATTCTACAGATCATATCTACTCTTTCATATTGGAATTATCTTTTCATACCCCAAATGGATATTGTTTTCAGCTAAAGAATTTTTAGTATTTCAGTAACAATTTATATATATATACATAAATTCTTGATTTTTATCTTATTGTTCTGACACAGTATTATGTTGTTACACTCTGACAGTATTTCAGCAGCTTCTTTAAGAAAAGATTGTAAATGGAATAAACCTTATAATTAAGAAAATACCCCTCAATATATAATTCACTTCACAGAGTTTTATATATAATATTCTATTTCACCCATGAATTCATATTTGCCAAACTTCTACCATTTTAGGGATATATTCTGTCTACATTTGTAATTTTTTATGCCAAGTAGAGATATATATTGCTTTTTAGTTTCTTTTTGAAAAATATACTGATCTACAACTTAATTAAAGTTGTAAGTGGATTGTGAATTGTTTATTGTTAATACATAATAAACATAGTGAGGCCTTTTCCAAATTCTGGTGAATCTGATACTGATGTGTACTTATAAAATTTGAACATTCTTAGTGTCTAGTCAATTTTAGTCGGTACCTACTGTAGTTTCAGTAAACAAACTACTTCAAATCAATCATTGTAAACTCCAGAATAAATGTGTTGACTTGGTAGTATTTTCTAATAGCTCGGGGACTTTGAACTTGGTTAGAACCTTGAATTATTTTCCGACTCCTGTCTGCACTCTGCACGAGCCTATCAGAAGCTGCGGTCCCTGGTGCTGGTACTGCAGGCAGTGATTTGCATAAAGGTGATGAAATCTACTCAAATTCTAATTGGTTTATATGTAATAATCCCAACAATGAAGCATCATTTAGTTATACATTTCAAATTACAGATAAGCATAGACATAAACAAACATACAGATAACCTTGATTTACCAGGAAATTGTTTAATGCCAAACGTGTCAGGTCCTTTTACTCAGACAACAATAGTTTGGTTGGTTGGTTGTTATGGTTGGATTTTTGTTTTAGTGTATTTTTAATGGCCAAAAAGAAGTTAATTGTTACCTCTAGAAAATATTTTCCTGTGGTGACTTTTTTGTTTTTTCTTTTTTTTTTGAGACGGAGTCTCGCTCTGTCCCCTCAGGCTGGAGCACAGTGGCGCGATCTCGGCTCACTGCAAGTTCCACCTCCTGGGTTCACGCCATTCTCCTGGCTCAGCCTCCCGAGTAGCTGGGACTACAGGCACCCGCCACCACTCCTGGCTAATTTTTTTGTATTTTTAGTAGAGACGGGTTTTCACCATGTTAGCCAGGATGGTCTCGATCTCCTGACCTCGTGATCTGCCCGCCTCGGCCTCCCAAAGTGCTGGGATTACAGGCATGAGCCACCGTGCCCAGCTGACTTTTTTGTTTTTTTATTGGCCAACCATGTTGTTTTATAAAGACTTGATTAAACTGGGAGACAAGAGACCAGAGTAACTCGGGTTCGGAAGTCTTGGATGGGAACTCCAGCTCCAATACTGAGCTGTCTGAATTTTCTTATGTGGATAATGAGAATAATTACAGTCTCTGTAGAGAGGTTAATTGTAAGGGTGTATTATTGTTTTCATTATTTCTTTCTTAGTGGAATTTTTGCTCTGTCTTGGAATACTTCCTTAGACTGCCCTGTAGCAGAGGAACTTTGGCCTGGTCTTTAGGAACTTTTTTGTTGTTGTTGTTAAACTGCTTAGTATGCACATAAAAATGTATCTTATTCCCAGCCTATCTCTTATTAGAGCACATGGGCAGACATTTTATCAGTCATATAGAGAAGAGGAGAGCTATAAGGCATATAAATTCAAATGCCAATCGAAATACATCAAATCCATCCAAAATGCTACGCGGGGAATAATATTTACATAAGTGCTTACGGTGTATACAAGCTATCTACCCTTGTAGAAACAGTCAAATCTATCTCCGGTTCAAGTCAGACCCTCCAAAGAAATATATACCTCAGGAACATCATTTTGAGCCCAAGTATCACGTTGTATATTTTTTCTTTGAGAAGATACTATCAGGTTATTTTTAGAGATATTTTAAATAATATCCCTATGAAAAATGTGGTCATATAAGCTGGATTTTACTAAGTTGTAGGCCATTATTCTACAAAGTCTCCTCTCTTTAAAAACTGACAGAAATATTTTTTCTGCTCTCAGTACTAAGAATAGAAGAGCTTCTCCTGGACAACAGGCTTTTTTTTTATATTATAGCTATTGTTAATGTAAATGATCATCTTACTTCTTCACATTGGCAAAATGAATACTTTTAAAATTTGTCACCCACATTAGAAGGAGAGGACTCTAGAGGATAATATATTTTTGAAAGAGCGTCCTTTTCATTTTACTATTACAAATCTGTATTTTTATCTTGCACTTCTTTTTTTCCATTCTATTTTGTTTTTTCTAATTTAAAAACTATTTTTTTCTACTTAACTTTGCGGAATCTGTTTTTTAACTTAACAAATTTGAAGGACACTTTGTAATGCAGTATTTTCTTTATGAATGTACCATATACAAAAGACTGAATGCTTCTTTTTTGCTTTGGCAATGAATAATTCACGGGACGAGTTACTAAATTTCAAAACTCTGGGTTACGTTACCTGCCACTATTCCAATGAGAGGGATGAGAACTGCAAACACGAGGAGGTAAAGGGCAATCAGTGCAGCTTTGAAGGACTTCAGTTTCTCTTGAAGGGAAGGGCTGTTTTTAGGATCTAATAAAACAAAAAAGCCCAGCCTACTGTTAGAAAGTGTTGTCTTCTTCCATAATTAAAATTGTTTTAATCTCCAATTATATTCTTACTACCAAGCCTATTGGAATAAAAAAGAAGAAAAAATGTTCCACATCTTTGCAGTAGAAAGCAAAAGGACAGTCACAGGAAAAGCCAATCCAGGTATCATTATAGGCACTTGACTGACTTATCCACTCACTAAACATCTACAAGAAAGTTACTGTGCTCTACAAGTTGTGCTTGTTTGATCTTTTGGAATCAGCTGGTAAATTTTAATATCGACACTTACATATACAAACATAAATTTTATTCAATGTTCATATGGGAAAATATTCTGGGTGACAATAAAATTTTCTAAAGTAACTATGCAATTTTTTAATATTTTAAAATCAGATAGGGCAAATACTTATTTTCAATGACTATGATGTTAAAATAATTTTCTTGTTCAATTCCTTCTCAATAGTTTTGTATCTGCATACCTCTTATGATTTGAATACAGTGTAAACAATATTTAAGAAAAATGAAATAAAGTGATTCACATTTTTACTAATCTTTAGAATGGATCAATGAAGCCCACTCTCTCTATATTTCAGAACATATTAATAACAGTAACCTTTTATTCATATGCATTTATATGGCACTGTGATTTATATAATGGGATATTAATTGTAGTAGAGACAAATCAATATAAAGGGGAAACAGTAGATGAGGAAGTCATTTCTCTGATTAGTTGAATACAATGGTCATTAAAAATTTATTTTCTATGGTCATTGCTTTCATTGATCAATTAAAAAAAGTAAATGTTGCTTTCAGGTTGCAAATTGTTAAATTAAAAACAAACTTTTTTATTTTAAGGTATTGAAAAGAAAATAAGAGACAGTTTTTAAAAAGTAAAGAAAAGAGAAGAGCTGGATGCAGTGGCTCACGCCTGTAATCCCAGCACTTTGGGAGGCCAAGGCGGGAGGATGGCTTGAGCCTAGGAGTTTGAGACCAGCCTGGGCAACATGGAGAAACCCTGGCTCTACAAAAACTACAAAAATTAGCCAGTCATGGTAGCATGTCCCTGTAACCCAAGATACTTACGAGGCTGAGGTAGGAGAATTGCTTGAGCCCAAGAGGTTGAGGCTGCAATGGGCTATGATCGCACCACTGCACTCCAGCCTAGGTGAAAAAGTGAGACCCTGTCTCAAAAAGAAAAAAAAAAAAAGGAAAAGAGAGAAAAGGAAAGGAAAGAAAAGATGGAAGGAAAAAAGAAAAAGAACCCATAATAGAAGCAAGTGGAGATATAGTCCACCTGCCAGGTTGATTAAGCCTGAAAAGTAGGAGTCATCTTCTCATCTCTAATTTATCATCACAAATGTAAATTCTACCTTTTAAATAGCTCTCAAACATTTTGATTGCTTTTTCTCTGCTCCCGATGTCTCTCTCCTCCTTCTTCAAACTCTCATCATTTCTGTCTGTAACAGCCCTCACTGTTATCTTTTCTTACATGTGTCTCACTTGTGCCATATCCTCCCATCCATCCTTTACACAGAGCACAAGATCCACTGTGCCCTGGAGTTGAGGTCTGTATTTCAGGTTTGCTATGTAAGAACTCATATATGAGGCTTTAACTTTGTATATGCTGCTTCTTCACACTGAAATATCTTCTCTTTCTTTTCTGCCTCCACCCATCCCCTTAGCGATATGTATTTATATTTTGAGGTTTAGCAGAATTATAAGTAACTTTCTCCTGACATCTTAAATGATCCTGTTGAGATACAGCTGAGTATTGCTACTTTTTAGCTGTTGTCGTAACCTGTGCAAACATGTTTCACCACTGCTATATGGGTTGAATTCTGTGCCACCAACAGATATGTTAAAGTTTTAACCATAGGTACCAGTGAAAGTAAGTTTATTTGGAAATAGGGTCTTTGGAGATGTAATCAAGTTAAAATGAAGTGATATTGGATTAGGGTGAACCCTAATCTAATGACTGATGTCTTTGTAAGAAAAGAACAAATAGCTACAGAGAGAAGACCATACGAAGAAGGCGGGAAAGATGAGTGGTGCAGCTACAGAGGCAAGGAACACTAAGGACTGCCAGTAGCCCGTAGAAGCTGGGAGGAGGCACAGGAAGATTCTTCTCTAGAGCCTTCGAAAGGGCACATGGTCTTTCTGACACCTGCATTTTAGACTTCTGCATCTCAGAACTGTGAGCGAATACATTTCTGTTTTAAGCCTCCCATTTGTTACAACAACTCTAGAAAACTAATACAGGCACCTACCACCCATGATTTTCGAATATTAGCTCACGGTGCTAGGATCATATTTATCTCCAGAACCTAATATTGTAGCTGGGAAGCCAGAAGGCTCAATCAATGTTGTAGATTAATTTAATTTCATATAATACTGCCTTACTTTTATTTAAGCTTATTTTTATTCTGTCTCAAGAATACCCCTGTTGGTCAAATAAGTATTATTTTAACATCCACTTACATTTAAGGTAAGTCTCAAGACTATAATTTTATATTTTGTCAATAACTCTAAGAACAACCTCCATGGGCAGCCCATCCCCCTCTACTTACTCGGAGGAAGCAAAGCTGTCATTGAGCGAGCATCAAATTTCACAGATTCGGAGCAGCTATCAGTGTCCTCCTGTTGATTGTGAAAGTGATCCCACTGCTCCATACTTCTATGAAACAAAATGGAAAAATATATTAATTCCACATGAAATGGCTAGGGCTCTTTTGCATAATGTTTTAAACTGAAATTTCAGTTTGAAATGGAATCTATTCAGTTTTTCTTTTTTTTTTTTAATTATACTTTAAGCTCTAGGGTACATGTGCACAACGTGCAGGTCTGTCATATATTATACATGTACCATGTTGGTGTGCTGCACCCACAAACTCGTCATCTAACACTAGGTATATCTCCTAATAGCTATCCCTCCCCCCTCCCCCTACCCCACAACAGGCCCCAGTGTGTGACGTTCCCCTTCCTGTGACCATGTGTTCTCATTGTTCAATTTCCACCTATGAGTGAGAACATGCGGTGTTTGGGTTTTTGTCCTTGCGATAGTTTGCTGAGAATGATGGTTTCCAGCTTCATCCATGTCCCTACAAAGGACATAAACTCATCCTTTTTTGTGGCTGCATAGTACTCCACGGTGTACATGTGCCACATTTTCTTAATCCAGGCTATCGTTGGACATTTGGGTTGGTTCCAAGTCTTTGCTATTGTGAATAGTGCCGCCGCAATAAACATATGTGTGCATGTGTCTTTATACCAGCATGATTTATAATCCTTTGGGTATATACCCAGTAATGGGATGGCTGGGTCAAACGGTATTTCTAGTTCTAAATCCCTGAGGAATTGCCACACTGACTTCCACAAGGGTTGAACTAGTTTACAGTCCCACCAACAGTGTAAAAGTGTTCCTATTTCTCCACATCCTCTCCAGCAGCTGTTGTTTCCTGACTTTTTAATGATCACCATTCTAACTGGTGTGAGATGGTATCTCATTGTGGTTTGGATTAGCATTTCTCTGATGGCCAGTGATGATGAGCATTTAAAAAAAAATGAAACGGAATCTATATTCTATGACACAATCTGTAATAAATAACATTTAATTTTAGCAAAAAAACCATAATTAGTTAAATTTGTATATCTCTCATATACAGCAATGTATTAAACTTACCCATAAGTTTTAACTTTCACGTAAAAAGACAGATGTATGTGGAACCCTCTCATGTATCTTTCTATTTACAAACATGTATGTCTATTTTTAGAGGTGTGTTTTTTGAGTGTGGAAAAAGAGGTATCTCTTCTTTCTTAGCTGAAAAGTTTTTTACAGGTGACAGAAAATAACTTGTAAAATGATTTAATCAGTAATTTAATAGAGTAAAAGGAAGGAAATAAAGAAATGTCTGGATCTGAATGATCTGATTTGACTTCTTACAAAAGTCAATTTTCCCAGATAATTGTTTTAATTTGCCTCTATCTGACAAAAGAGAGGATTTGGGAACTATGCCTGCCTTCCTCCATCCTCTTCCTCCACAATGTTTAAATCCATTAGAGAACATAGTCCTTGTCCATATCAACATAGGATTCAGAAAAAACAGTTCTCAGAAATGATGCACATACAAATTGTCATTGCGAACTGCCAAATAAGGAATTTCCTTAGTATTATTTTAATTACTCTATTTGCTGAAAAAACAATAATTTCCCTTAGGACAAATAGTTTTGCATATTTGGACTAAATAAATATTTCCTGGATCTTTTAAGAAAATTATTTATTGGCCGGGCACAGTGGCTCACGCCTGTAATCCCAGCACTTTGGGAGGCTGAGATGGGTGAATCACCTGAGGTCAGGATTTCGAGACCAGCCTGGCCAACATGGTGAAACACAGCTCTACTAAAAATACAAAACAATTAGCCAGGTATGGTGGCACCTGTAATCCCAGCTATTCGGGAGGCTGAGGCAGTAAAATCGCTTGTACCCGGAAGACAGAACTTGCAGTGAGCCGACATTGCACCGCTGAACTCTAGCCCGGGCAAGAAGAGTGAAACCCTGTGTCTCAAAAAAAAAAAAAAAAAAAAAAAAGTATTTATTTATTTATTTACTTATTTTGAGACGGAGTCTCACTGACTCTGTTTCCCAGGCTGGAGTGCAGTGGTGCAATCTCAGCTCACTGCTACCATGTTGTCCAGGCTGATCTTGAACTCCTGACCTCAAGTCTGCCTCCCAAAGTGCTGTGATTGCAGGTGTGAGCCATTGTACCCGGTCTCTCTCTTTCTCTCTGTCTGTCTCTCTCTCTCTCCCCTTCTCCCTCTCTCCTCTCTCTCCCTTCTTTCTCTCTCTCTCCCTTCTCTCTTCTCTCATTCACTCTTTCACTTTCCAGAGCTTTTCTCATTTTACATTGGCAGCCATATAAATATGTCCTTGTACCTTTTCCAGCATAATCTCTATTTTATGTGCATACTAAGCAGCTTTTAAAAATGTTCCTGTGTCTCTTTAACATGTATCAGAAACATTGGAAAGGTTTGATAAAAAGAAACTGATGGGCCTCACCACCAGAGTTTCTGATATTTGGGGTGGGGGCTCAAGAATTTGCAATTCCAACAAATTCTCAAGAGGTGATGCAATTGGTCTGAGGACCACATTTTAAGAACCTTTTCCATAAAAGGTGATTATGACTTCTTTTGTTGGACACAGTTCCGTTCATGTGATTGACAAATTTAGCATAAAGCCAACATCTTCTGATCATTTCTTATTTTCTTGAATGCTGTGTAATGGACTTAGCACAGCACAGTTCTAACTGAGTGCACTGGCATCTTTAGGACAGCAAAGTCAAATCCAGCTCAGGAAATGAAGGGCGATCATTCAGATGCAAATGTTCATCCCACTGTGGGGAGAGGCAGTGACATGCAAGGATATGACTCAACTCCTGTCAATATATTTTGAAAATATCACTAAGAAGATTCTTTATTTGGAAGTTTGCAGTGACAGTCGTTGCATATTCCTCCTTTCTGAGAGTTGGTTTTCATGAATGCTATGTTGATCTGACCAAGGACTCTGTTCTTTAATGGATCTGACCACTGTGGAGAAAGGGAATGAAGGGAGGTAGGCATAGAACCCAAATCTTCTCCTTTCTCAGGTAGAGGCAAAGCAAAATAAATAAACAATTATCTGGGAAAATGAACTATTGTAAGAAGCCAAACTGGATTATTTAGATCCACACTCTTCTCTATTTCCTCCCTTTATTAGATTTAAAGAGCAGTTTTACTCACCAAGCAAAACAAATGAACAAAAAAACCAAATAATTAAAAAAAACTGACATGACAATAAAACTTAGCAAAATTCACTTTAAAATATAGTTGAATAATTCATAATCCTTTGGGAATATACGCAGTAATGTGATTGCTGGGTCAAATGGCATTTCTGGTTCTAAATCCTTGAGGAACTGCCACACTGTCTTCCACAATGGTTGAACTAATTTACACCCCACCAACAGTGTAAAAGCATTCCTATTTCTCCATATCCTCTCCAGCATCTGTTGTTTCTTGAATTTTAATGATCGCCATTCTTGGAACCAATCCAAATGCCCATCAATGATAGATTGGATAAAGAAAATGTGGCACATATACACCATGGAATACTATGCAGCCATAAAAAAGAGTGAGTTCATGTCCTTTGCAGGGACATGGATGAAGCTGGAAACCATAATTCTCCGCAAACTAACACAGGAACGGAAAACAAAACATCACATGATCTCACGTATAAGTGGGAGCTGAACAATGAGAACACATGGACCCAGGGAGGGGAACATCACACACTAGGGCCTGTCAGGGGGTGGGAGGCAAGGGGAGGGATAGCATTAAGAGAAATACCTAATGTAAATGATGGGTTGATGGGTGCACCAAACCACCATGGCATGTGTATACCTATGTAACAAACCTGCACATTTTGCACATGTATCCCAGAACTTAAAGTATAATTTAAAAAAAAAAAAGAAAAACGAAAACCCTATAGTTTAAGGCAATTGGAACTATGTACTAATGCTTTTTAACTTTGAACTCAGTTTGTAAAAGATGGATTCGCAAAAATTGTGTTCAAGTATACCTGGTATGTATAGACATGTGTCAATTAAGGACAAAGATACGTTCTGAGAAATGCATTGCTAGTCAATTTCATGGCTGTGTGAACATCATAGAGTGCATTTACACAAACCTAGATGGTCTAGCCTACTGCTGCTAGGCAACAAACCCACCCCAGGCTGTGTGGTCTAGCCTATTGCTCCTAGGATTCACACCTATATAGCATGTTATACTGTGCTGAATCCTGTAGGCAGTTGGAACACAATGGCAAGTATGTGTGTTTCTAACATATCTACACATAGAGAAATGCAGTAAAAATATGGTATAAAAGATACGAAGTTCTGCACCTGTACAGGGCAATTGGATAAATGAAACTTGCAGGACTGGAAGTTGCTCTGGGTGAGTCAGTGAGTGAGCGGTGAGTGAATGTGAAACACTGTAGACTTTATAAACATTGCACACTTAAGCTACACTGAATGTATAAAAAATTTTATTTGTTCAATAATAAATTAGCCTTAGTTTACAGTACCTTTAATACTTTAGAAACCTTTTTAAACAACATTTTTACTCTTTTATAATAACACCTGGCTTAAACCATAAATTGTGTAGCTGTACAAAAATAATTTCTTTCTAAACAGCTTTATCCTATAAGCTATTTTAACTTTTTTTTTTTTTAATGTTTCTACTTCTTTAACTTTTTTGTTGATAACTAAGGCACAAACACACACATTAGCCTAGGCCTACACAGGGTCAGGCTCATCAATGCCACTGTCTTCCCCTCCATATCTTCTCCCACTGAAAGATCTTCAGAAACAATAACAGGCATGGAGCTGTCATCTCCTATGATAACATTGCCTTCTTCCAGAATACCTCCTAAAGGACATACCTGAGGCTGCTTTATGGTTGAATCTTTTTTTATAAATAGGAGGAGTACACACCAAAATAATGATTAAGAAGTATAATATGGTAAATACATAAACCATTAACATTTATTATCAAGTATTAAATACTTACGTAACTGTATGTGCTATACTTTTAAATGACTGGCAGAGCAGTAGGCTTGTTTACACCAGCATCACCACAAATATGTGAGTAATGCAATTTCCTATTCCCTTAGAACAGCTATGAGGTCAATAGGTGATAGAATTTTTCAGCTCCATTATAATCTTATGGGACCACCATCATACATATGGTCCTGTGTTGACTGAAACATTATTATGTAGTGCATGTCTATAACCAGAAAAGCTTTCCTTTCAGGCTACCTACTGGCCCCTTCTCCACATGTTTGATTATGGCTTTGATCCTCACATTTGAGATATTCTGCCTCCATTTTTACTGAAATGCAAAATAAACAGCTCAGATTATTCTATCTACCAGGTAAGACCGTTTGTGAAAAAAGCTGAAGACTTTTGAATCTGATAAACATCTTTACACTCTGAACTCTGAACGAGTAGGGACCATGTCTGCTTTTGTCCACATTATGTCACTACAGCCTAAAGCAACCTGGAACATTGAATATATTAAATAAATATTGAATATACTGAATAAATAGAATATGCTGAATATTCATATATGAATAGATGAATAACTATATAGATATAAATATTCATTATATAATTACATCTATAACATGTAATACATATTTATATATACATTATATAATATATAATTTATATTATGTTAATATATTACATAATATATTATATAATAGGCAAATATATAATATATATAATATATAATATAATAAATATATTATCATATTAATATAACATATATTATAAATATATATTTCCCAATTATATTATATGTAATACCATATATATTTGGCAATTATATAATATATAATATAAATATATGTATAATTATATGTAATTTATATTATGTTAATATATTATATATTATATTAGTTGGCAAATATATTATATATTATATATTTTATATATCATAGAATTGGCAATATATAATATTAAATATATTTATATTATTATATAATATATAATTATATATATATATATGGCACAGGCATAGTACAAAAGTGAGTGATTAACTCTTTTGGGGAAGTGGGTAATCAAGGTAGGAATACAGAAAAGATGACAATGAATCAGGGTTTTGAAAATGAGCAGAATCTGGGGTAAGGTCATTCCAGGATGGAAAATATCATGTTAAAAAGCATGAAGGTATGAACAATATGGAACTGAGAGCAGTTTTAATTTTTCATAAAGACAACATTTATTTTTCACCTTAACATTTATTTTTAATATGCCTTACTTAGGTTAAGAGAAAACAAAGATTTAAAAAGCCAAGTGTCCCTTTTATTATTATACTTTCTTTTCACATAACCTTTTCAGCCTAGATTCAGGTAACTTCCTGTCTCTCCCATTAAAGGAGAGGGGTCCTGCACATTACAACAGGCAAAAAAGGCTTTCAGGAAATAAAATGTTTTAATTTGATCTATTACATCTGTTCAATTTTCTTGAGTACCTTCGAGAGTGGGAAAAAGACAAAAGGAGAAAAAAATGGTATTTTAAACAAACAGACTATAATAACCTTAGTTAGGTTGGTAGTACACTATTTATGCTTTTTCTCTAAACAGGTACAAAGGAGGTTCAAAAAGAAGAGGCTGGAGAGGCATGTAGCCGGTAGCATCCGACTCATCAATTTCTTCCTTTATTTTTCTGATCGCATAAATTGATCTGGCTTTCACAACCTACCCAAAATATAACATTGAATTACTATCTATACAAATGAAGTAAAAATTTATTGTTTGCTTTGGCAGTAGTGACCTGGATTAATATTATTAGTGAGACAATATATATTGTTTATGAAACATTTTGCTTTTCTCCCTTTCACTTTGAACTAGAGATGAAGCTTGATTTTGTTTTTTCTTTAAGTTTCTAACCTTTGATTTATTTTTTTTTAGCATATAGAAGTGATAATAAATATTTTGTGGATTACTATATTTTAAACCGTGGTTACCTTGGGAAGATTTATTTAATCTCTGAAAAAGGAAAACCACCTAGTACATGTCTATGAGTGATTTAGACTAACTGACACTATTTAGTCTATAAAATACCCCTGACAGGTGTAGTGGGCCAGAAGGGAGGTGAACACTGAAGCATACTCAGTGCAATGAGGAATGAACAATATTCCCTATGGCTACATTTGTGCACCATGGGAAGTCTGTTTGCTTTCTGGGCAATGTTCAAAAGGGATTGGTTTATCATGAACTGCACGAAATGTTGGTATGTATATTTTCCAGAAAAAAAAAAAAGCTCACATTCATCAGAGATAATGAAGCCATAGGATTTGTGGCATTTTCTGATGTTACTTTCTTTTTTCTTAGTCTGCACAGTCTCTCTGAGAATCTCATCTACTTCCATGGCTTGAACTACTGCCTGTGTCCTGATCAAGCCAATATAGCCAAACCAGATCTCAATCTCAGCATCAGCTTTTGTTTTACATAACACAACTAGCTACAAACGTGGATTTTCTACAGCAACCTAACTTTTCTTTTTCCAGGATTTTCACTGTGGTTATATCATCCATTTACATCATCTATTTATTATCATACCCACTTATTATTATCATCTACTTACTGTATAGTGGAGAATATGTGATATAGTTAGGAATATGCCGGCAAAGCACAGTCACGCAATCTGAGCCCAGAACTGCTTTTCTAGACCGCTCTCATCTATAAGACCCATATCTGACTGCACAAAAACTCCTGATTTCCTTTGATCCATTCCTTCCATTCTATTCCAATTTTTGGACTTCGGCTTATTTTTATCTACTCCAGCCAGGCATCTTGGGTAACAGCAATGGTGCAGACAATTAAGAGGAAAATCCAAGGGCATTAAGAGAGAGGACAAATTAATAGCATCTAAAACACAGCATTTTAACAAAGAATCGTAGGGAAAAAGTCAAACAGTAGAAGATACCTTTTTTCAGGAAAAAAAAAAAAAAACACCACACACATAAACTTGAAAAACATGATATTCAGTGGGTGAGTAGAGGAAGAAGACTCAGCACAAAAGACAAGGAAGAACTTTTTGACGCTGCAAGAGAAAAACAAGAAGCAGTCAGGGTCATGGAAAAGAACAAAGAAGTTCGTGGCCTGCAAGAAATCCATAACCTGCCACATAGAATTTAAGTTGTTTTTCCTGTGTGGTAGAAGCAGAAATAAAACCTTGCAAGATTGGCAGTAATAAATGTATAAAAATGAAAGTCCCTGAGTGCATAAATGAAAGTTGTTCATGCTCACGGTTTTTTGTTGAGAAGAGAGATACTGATGATTGCACTGAGATAGCACATCCAGGGGAGTTTTATTTATTTCTGGGTATTCCTCCTCATCTCCCCAACGTCTCAACAGCAGAGTGAGCCAGGGTCCAGTTTCTGTTCTGTTTTCTCTCCTATTTTCACTCCCTTGGTGATCTCACTAGCCTCATTGCTTTAAATATAATCTAGAAGGCTGATGACTCTTAAGTCTTTATCTCTTGCCCATAGCTCGTCTCTCAACTACAAACCCATATATGCACTGCCTAACAACACCCCTGCTTAGAATTCTAATATGGTGCAAACCTAGAGGTCTTCTTTTCCTCGCCTTTTCTCATCCACTACATCCAATCTCTCATCCAACCCTGTTGCTTTGTTTTCAAACGCTATGTAGAAACTGAGGGCTTCTTGTCACTTCCTTGCTAGCATCCTGTCCAAGCCCCATCATCCCTTTCACCGTGACATTTCTTTTTTTTTTTTTTGAGACAAGGTCTTGCTCTCTTGCTCAGGCTGGAGTGCAGCCGTGTGATCACATCACTGCAACCTTGACCTCCTGGGTTCAAGTGATTCTTCCACCTCAGCCTCCTGAGTAGCTGGGTCTACGGGTGCATGCCACCATGCCCATCTAGAGATGCAGTCTTACTATGTTGCCCAGGCTGATCTCAAACTCTTTAGCCTCAAGCAATCTACCCACCTCAGCCTCCCAAATTTTTGGCATTACACACATGAGCTATTGAGCATGGCCTCACCTTGTTGATTTTAATAGCTCCCTGACTTTCACGCTTACATTCTTGAATTAATTCTCCACACACTTCCCAGAAGAATCCTCTTAAAAAGTAAGGCAGATTGAGTCACTCCCATGCTCAAAGCCCCTGAATGCCTTCTCGTCTCACTCAGGCCGTCATTAAAGTCTGACTCAAAAAAGCAGACCACCTGTAATTCCTGCACTTTGGGAGGCTGAGGCGGGTGGATCACCTGAGGTCAGGAGTTCGAGACCATCCTGGCCCAATGATGAAACCCTGTCTCTACTAAAAATACAAAAAATTAGCTGAGTGTGGTGGCGGGTACCTCTAATCCCAGCTACTCAGAAGGCTGAGACAGGAGAATTGCTTGAACCTGGGAAACAGAGGTAGCAGTGAGCCAAGATCAGGCCACTGCACTCTAGCCTGGGCAACAAGAATAAAACTCTGTCTCCAAAAAAAAAAAAAAAAAAAAAAAAAGGAAAGAAAGAAAAAGCAAGCAAGCAAGCAAGCTGACTGTTCCTGAACATCCATTTTCAACCTACAACCCCTTGGGGCTTTGTCTTCCCCACCCTGGCTTCATTTTCTTTCCCCCAAAAACATATATTCCTTATTTGTCTTGTCTATCATCTGTCTTCTCTCATCCAAGCCAGATCCATGATGTGGACTTTTGATCTCTTTGGTTCAGGGATCAGAGAGTTCCTGAAGGTGCTCATTACATACATAATGCCGTATTTAAAATTACATAAATAAATGAAAGGCAAGATATTTTTCAAGATGACTGGATTTTATATCTTAGGTTATGCCTCAAGAAAACTTTGTGGTTCACTAAAGTAGGGATTTTAAAAATTCTTCTGTTACATATTGGAAAATAAAATATTTCTCTCTGCACTGCACGTAACTAGCAAACTGAAACAAAAAATATTACCCTCAGTGAACCCACTTTGCTTCAAAAGCATTTATTATTAAAATTACCAGATTATTTCAGCTGCTTACTCTGGTTATAATCATTGTAATTTTTTAGTAACGTGAACATACATACTTGCATGAGCCTTCATTAGCAGGCAGTGAACAACTCACACTGTTCAAGTGTGCCTTTTAATATCAGTTCCACAGTTAGGACAAAAAGTAGCTTCACATAAAGTTACTCTTCCTATTAAATGTCAGTGTGCTGATAAACGATTGTAAAATCCTTGGAGTTTGTGTAATCTATTAAAAGCACGTGCTCATGAGAAGTGAAACACGTTTCTGTAATATCAGCATTTTATCAAGTGGATGAAAAGTTTACAGGAAATTCATAATGAAAGAATTTCAAGGTTAATTTGTTGGGAACCATATACCTTACTTTTTTGTTTTTATTATAAAACATTTTAATAATATTATAGATATGTTAGGATGAAATTTCTGTCATCTCATCACCCTAATAAAGGAAAAAAACCCTTAATTTTTTAAATGAAACTCGAGTCTTTGGATGTATGTATACCTGTAACATAGTTCATATCATCATGCACGTATCATTTGGTATTACGCGTTTTCCTTAAAATCACCTCATTATTTTAATATTTCAAACGAATTTTTCAAACTTGAAATTTTTTTTATTATTCTTTAGGTTCTGGGATACACGTGCAGAACGTGCAGGTTTGCTACATTGGTATACATATGCCATGGTGGTTTGCTGCACCCATCAGCCCATCATCTAGGTTTTAAGTCCCACATGCATTAGGAGTTTGTCCTAATGCTATGCCTCCCCTTGCCTCCCACCTACTGACAGGCCCCGGTGTGTGATGCTCCCCTCCCTGTGTCCACGTGCTCTCACTGTTCAACTGTCACTTATGAGTGAGAACATGCAGTGTTTCTTTTTCTGTTCCTCTGTTAGTTTGCTGAGAATGATGGTTTCCAGCTTCATCCATGTCCCTGCAAAGGACATCAACTCATCTTTTTTATGGCTGCATAGTAGTCCATGGTGTATATATGCCACATTTTCTTTACCCAGTCTATCACTGAGGGACATTTGGGTTGGTTCCAAGTGTTTGCTACCTAATAATTCAACACACATACATATATATATATATATATATATATATATATAAAACAACATATATATATGTGTTGAATTATTATGTAGCAAAGACTTGCTTATATATATAAAACCTTATTTTACATATATTTCATATATACGCAAAACCTTATTTTACATATATTTCATATATACGCAAAACCTTATTTTACATATATTTCATATATACGTAAAACCTTATTTTACATATATTTCATATATACGTAAAACCTTATTTTATATATATTTCATATATGTAAAATCTTATTTTATATATATTTAGATATAATCTTATTTTATTTATATTTCAAATATATAAAATCTTATTTACATTTCATATATATATAAAATCTTATTTACATTTCATATATATATAAAATCTTATTTTATATATTTTTATATATATTTTATATATATAAAATCTTATTTTATATATATTTTATATATATTTTATATATATAAAATCATATTTTATATATATAAAATCTTATTTTATATATATTTTATATATTTTATATATAAAATCTTATTTTATATATATTTTTATATATAAAAAATCATATTTTATATATATTTTATATATTTTATATATATGAAATCTTATTTTATATATATTTTATATATATTTTATATATATATAAAATCTTATTTTATATATATTTTATATATATATAAAATCTTATTTTATATATATTTTATATATATATAAAATCTTATTTTATATATATTTTATATATATATAAAATCTTATTTTATATATATTTTATATATATATAAAATCTTATTTTATATATATTTTATATATATATAAAATCTTATTTATACAGCCATTTTTCTAAATAAAAAATACAGCCATTTTTCTAAAATATAATTTTTTCTTTTAAACTTTTTTTCCTTTTCCCAGGGGGCAATGCTTCACTGATATAAATAATGATGTTATAAATATTTCCTTTTTTTTTTTTTTTTTGAGATTGAGTCTTGCTTTGTCACCCAGGCTGGAGTGTAATGGTGTGATCTCAGCTGACTGAAACCTCTGCCTCCTGGGTTCACGTGATTCTCCTGCCTCAGCTTCCCGAGTAGCGGGATTATAGGCGTTTGCCACCATGCCCAGCTCATTTTTGTATTTTTCACCGCGTTCATCCAGCTGGTCTCAAACTCCTGACCTCAGGTGATCCACCCTCCTTGGCCTCCCAAAGTGCTGGGATTACAGATGTGAGCCACTGCCCCGGCCATTATTTTCATAATTTAGCTTTCTTCTTTTAAAATGTTTCTTTAGGATAATTCATCATATGTGAAACTAAAAAGTGAAAGGAAAACTATTTTGAACTTCTTGGGCTCTACTGTCTTAGTGATCTTTAAAAAGATAACATAAATTTATAAATATTCCAGACTTATATGTGAATATGGCAGTTTCAAGCAAAATTCACTACCATTGAATAATAAAGCTTATTTTAGAATCATTTAGATTTTGATAAGAGTTAAATAATACCTAAAAGTGGTTTTCATTTTTATTTTTTATTATTAATGTAAGAGAGAGATTTCACTGTAATTGTCTGTCATACATTGTTCTTCTTGGGTTATTATCTATTCATATTCACTGCTTATACATCCCCACAGGTTTCTTTTACCTAAGCATGTGAATCAGCTCTTTATGTTTAATACATATTTACCATCTGTCTTTTCATACTTGACATGCATTCGTTTTCCTAAGATTTTTCCCTATTTAGTTTTTTTATCATATTCTTTCTTTTTTCTTTCTTTCTTTTTGTTTTTGAGATGGAGTTTCGCTCTTGTTGCCCAGGCTGGAGTGCAATGGCGTGATCTTGGCTCACCACAACCTCCGCCTCCTGGGTTCATGTGATTCTCCTGCCTCAGACTCCGGAGTAACTGGGATTACAAGCATGCACCACCACGCCCGGCTAATTTTGTATTTTCAGTAGAGACAGGGTTTCTCCATGTTGGTCAGGCTGGTCTTGAACTCCCGACCTCAGGTAATCCACCTGCCTTGGCCTCCCAAAGTGCTGGGATTACAGGCGTGAGCCACCGTGCCCGGCCCATCATATTCTTAAGGCCAACTTTATCTTCAACATTTGGAATAAATAATAAGCTTGTGATCCTCCTTATTATATAAAATAATAACTTTGATTTTTGTAACAGCAGTTGAATGTGTATATAAAATGAAAATTAAATTAAGATTATTTGTGAAACTAACAGCTTTATGCTTAAGGAACCCGTCTGTAAGACAGATTTTAGTAAGAAATGGAAATATTTATATTGTGCCTGATGTCACTGATATTCATCCTTGGTAGCAAAGAAGAAAGAGCATCAACTTTTGAATCTGAAATCTAGATTTGAGTATTGACTGTGACATCATTTAGCTGTGTGATCTTAGGCAAATATTTTAACTTATTTGAATTGAACTTTCTTTAGATATGTAAAATATGATCACAATATAAATTTAAAGAATTATTGCGAGAATTAAAAATAATTTTTGTAAATTGCCTGGTACACAGAAAACCATCAATATATGAATCCCTGTTATTTTAAAATATCACTTTTTTTTTAAATATGAGCTTTTCTTATTTTGTTCTCACGGAATCTTCATGAGGTACAAGTAGTATTTTCTCCATTTTACAGGTTAGGGAACTGAAATGTGTAAGTAACTAGTCAAGTTACTCAACTAGGGAGCAGGGGAGCTGGAATTTGAACACAGGCAGTCTACTCCCAGAAGATTAGCTCTTACCCACTGCATAAAACGGCTAATCACTGCATAAAACATCTGTAATCTCAGTTCTATGGTTTTTCTATAAGTATTTTTACCTGGTCAGTGCAAATGCCAACCTCCCATTATATGCTGTGTGAATCTTACTTAGTCTTCAAGATTAATCAGATTTCTAGCATCTCCATGAAGATTTATTTTTGATAGACTTTTTTCACATAGAAGTAATTTTGGCCTCGCCTATATTTTCATAGTAATTATCTATAGCATTTTCATACTACTTAAGGTGCTAGTAATTATCTATAGTACTTTCATACTACTTAAGGTGCTCAAATTACATTATGCCTATTTGGGGATATGTTTTAAATCATAAGATTCCGGAGCACAAAAAGAACTATATCTTATTTTTTGTATCCTTTCCCCACATCTAGTTCAATGAAGTGCATATAGTAGATACCCAGCCAATATTTGCTATATAATCAAGGGAAGATAATAAAAGGCATTAGATTAAAGCCAAAAATGTTCCATGAAAAGTTATGAAAGGAGAATAGGTGAAATATGTCAAATTATACTTTGAATAAAACCAGTATTTTAAACAAAATATGCTTAATTATATGAAAAAACCCCATTGCTGGTTCAAACTACAAAGCATTTAGTGTATTTCATATGTACTTGTGAACATATATGTTTTTCACTCATGGAAAATTTAGCAGAAATCCCTATTTTTTGATTATCGAAAAAAACCAAACCAAATTATTGCTGATACAATAAAGCATTCATCTCATCATACACACACAGACACACAAATATATATCACACACATGCATGCACACACACACACAGAGTACACACATAACAATCAATAGAAACAATTCTGGAAAAAACATTAAAATAAGCCTTTTTTTTTCTTTACCTTTCGTCCTAAAGAAAGCAGCACTGATTTATCCACTTCTCTCTCTTTACAATTGAAACCTAAAATCTTTATCTCATAGTATTTCAGCATCTGGTACATGAAGAAAGGAAATGACACATTCCTGCGTTGAAAATCTTTCTTAATGTGTTTCAATAGCACTCTCATCAATGCACAGGTTTGCAAAATCTAAATTTGTCAGATAACTCACTCTTCACCCCATTTAGGCCGCTTTAAAAAAAAAAGAGAAGTGAAAAGGAAAAGAAACAAGGGTTGTTGAAACAAGCACATAATTTACAGCAGATTGAGCTTTCCTTTTTTTTTGGAGATGGAGTCTCGCTGTCTCACCAGGGTGGAGTGCAGTGGTGTGATCTCCGCTCACTGCAACCTCTGCCTCCCAGGTTCTACAGGCGTGTGCCATCACACCCGGCTAATTTTTTGTATTTTAGTAGAGACAGGGTTTCGCCATGTTGGTCAGGATGGTCTTGATCCCCTGACCTCATGGTCCGCTCGCCTTGGCCTCCCAAAGTGCTGGGATTACAGGCGCGAGCCACCGTGCCCAGCCTGATCTTTCCTTTTTTATAAGTAATCTATGCCTTCTAAAACATACATTAATTCTCATGATCTCCTCTTTCACGTTACTATAATGTTGAGTAAAGACTCCATGTTTGGCTAGGTGTGGTGGCTCATGCCTGTAATCCCAGCACTTTGGGTGGCCGAGGTGGCTGGATCACTTGAGGTCAGGAGCTCTAGAACAGCCTGGCCAACATGGTGAAACTAGTCTCTACTAAAAATACAAAAATTGGCCAGGCATGCGCCTGTAATCCCAGCTACTCGGGAGGCTGAGGCTGAAGAATTGCTTGAACCCAGGAGGCGGAGGTTGCAGTGAGCAGAGATCGCACCACTGCACTCCAGCCTGGGCAACAGAGTGAGACTCCACCTCAAAAAAAAAAAAAAAAAAAAAGACTCCATGTTTAGAGATTCGAGTTTTTTTCTTAGATCCTTTTTCCTGTACCTTTATCCCTAGCCTCAAACACAAAACACGTGAAGAAAGAATATGATGCCTTAGTAAGAACAAGTAATAACCTAAAAGCACTCACTCCTGTTCTCTCTATAATGATAATAGCATTAATTTTTAGAGCACCAGACAAGTTGTTTATTTCCAGTAGTATAGTAGAGGGAAGGAATCTCAGGCATGGATCAGATGAAAGGGATGTTCTTTCCCTTCTGCCATCCATCAGGGTTTTATACAATTCAACTCCGTTATTTACTCACATTCAAGAAGTTCAAGTATGACTCACATGAAAACGTTCAACATTACATTAATGAGCTAAGTTTTACAACTGATATTTCTGGGAGAAGGTGTTTAGCTTATATTCCGTAGTCACTCTTTTGTGCCCAAACAGGAGAAATCATGCTTCCTACCAAAAGATGCCCCAAATTGCTGTGCCCATGGGCACCATCCTTCAGAAGACAATACGTCTGCAAGAAAGTATGCGGGAACAGCGCACGGTCTTTGAGAGATGCAAAGTAACAGTATTATTCAGTTATTCTTAAGGTAACCACTAAAAGGCTAATAGTAGTAGTAGGACAGGCATCAAAGTAAGCTGCATAATTTCTAACCAGGCAGCTTGAAGACTAGAAGTACGATCACAATTTGATCCAGCCTGGACCAGCATAAATGCTATTGGCTATTCCTCATCAAATTCTTACTGACACAGAACTGGAGACTACAAAACTCACACTCTTTCCTTTACAATTATTTGTACATGCTTCTTATTTTAAAATATAGTCCTTTTAGGTTTTTTTGTACAAAATCTGAAGTTTAAAATTTAGATATCCCTGACAATGCTACGTGATTAGAAAAGTCAGACTCTGGGAATAACAAGACACCAATCTCCCAAAATTCTATCCTAATGAGGTTTCTTTCTGTCAGTGTGCTTTATTTTCAGTATGTCTCTGTAATACTGTTTGGTGTATATCCACAGTGCTGACCACTTCCCTATGTGATGATTTCCACACTCTTCAGCCAATCTAATTTTTCATTAAAAAACTTCCCTTTTTATATGTCTAAATAGGTACTATATAATTTTATATAGTTTTATATATAATAATTATAGATTATGTAACATAATATTATCTATTAGGTCTTACTATATGTAAAAACACCTTTAGCAGGGAACCATGTTAAAAATGTTCAGTTCAAGCCAATGATTAATTGAGAACAGAGGTAATATGTAAAGGGTTGGGATTTTGCATTCATTCCTTCATTTGACTTCACAGCAACTTTGTCATATCACTTCCCTAATTGAGAAATTAATGTTTAGAGATGGTAAGTAAATTTCTCGAGATCAGAGTTATGAGTCATCAGAGCTGGTATTTAAACCCAGTCTGATTACAAAATTTGGCAAAATATAGTTTTTTCTTAAGCTGAAGTAGGTATATGTATTATTAGGGGACTATAATATCTCCATCAAAAACAGTATACAGAAAACAAGCCACAAATATGGGCAAATTCCAGATCATGTGGATAGTTACTTTGTTCATAGTTATTGTGATGGATCCCAATTACTTTATTTTTGTTGCTTATGGATATATGTGTCTAGAATGAGGTCCATGTAAGATTATGCCCAGTGACCAAACAGAGATTCATAATCAAATAGGCAAATGGCTTGAGAGAATTGATTCAAATGTCCTAGGACTCACTGTGGTACAGGTATACTGAACTCAAAAGAAGAGTTAACATTTTACACTCATTAAGAGGTATTTTTGTATGTCTAAAGTTACAGCAGGTTGTTAGTCATAATATATAGTTAATACATTATGACTTATTTATTGTATGATATATATATGATAAAGTTTCGAGATAAAATTTTTCATGTTCTTAATTCAAAGCAATAAGTAAATAGTGATATAAATACAGATTTTAATAATGCTGCAACGGACACATATTGCTGTGGGATTATAAAGCATTTACAGAATTATCAAAACATTCTTTAATAAAATTGACATTGAAAAATTGCATATTGGCAGAGCTTTTTCTTTGATAATCATAAGCAGAAAACTGTGAAGGTACCAGTAACATTTTATATAGCCTTATTAAACAGAACTTTCCTATATGAGAATTATTGAAGTCAAATACAGAAACAGACCAAGGACAGTATCAGAATTGAATAGTATCTTCCTTCTATTAAACCTATAATAATATTTTGGCTTGCCCACACAATCTTAAATTGGTGGTGTTAGTTAAAATTTTAATTTTTTTGCGAGATTTTAAAATTTAATTAACATATGCATTATATTTCAAAAACTTGGTTAAGAACTGTAGGCTTACAGTGTTTAGGTCTAAATTCGTGTTTCTCTATTTTAACATAAAATTATAATAAAATAATATATCAACACTTAATAAGGTATAGAGATCAATATATTTATTTTCTTTTGAGAAACACTGCACTATGCCATACTGTCTATTTTTAAAAGAAAGTTCATGGAAGACTTCTAGTTGCAGCTTCAACATCTAAAGAGCTTGGAAGTCATCACTCATATCTCGACACCACGAAAAAAGCTGGAGAAACTAAAAATCAATGACGTCTTGGACCCATCAGAGAACTGAGGTCTCAAGGAAACTACCAGCCTGAAACCGGGAGAGAGAGGAGATTACAGAGCATCACAGCAGACACCAGATCACCTGCAGCTGATGCCAGTGGAACCACAAACTGGCAGGAACACCTAAGCAGGAATTTGGCAAGAGGCTGAGTATGGACCAGTGTGAGCACTGGAGCCTCCTGGGGGCTGCAGTCTTCAAGGCGCCCCCTAAACACTTACAGGCTTTACTTCCAGGAATACAACTTGGTTCTCACAGTATATACCAAAAAATATCACCTGATGTCCCTGGCAGAGAGAAGGGAAATCTAATGATTTTAAAATATACGTAGAGCATTTCCTGTAACAAAGGCTTACTCCCCAGTGAAAAGAGTTTATCAGAGCGTTATCTTAGCTAGGCAGCTGAAGGGTAACTATTCAATGCTCGCTCCCTCTAGTCTTCCAGCTGCAGTTCAACTTGGCAGAGAAAAAGGAAAAAAAAAAAAAAGTTTAGAAACGCTCATGAAGGTCACAGGTCACAGTCCGGGGACAAGGGCCCACTAAAAGACTGAGATTTAATCAGAAGACTATAGAACACCTCACCCCGCCCCCACATCTCACCCCTCCGTCAACAGAGCTCCCGTATGATAACAGTGGATGACAGGTGAAAGAGATGCAAGGTTTTTTTTGAAAGGGAAGTTTGTAGGGGAACCTAAATACAGTAGAGGCAACAAAGAGACACTACAGGTAATTTTAGCTTCTGACAGCTGTATCTACAGGAAATGTTAGACGTAACCCAGCTCCTAGCTAGATTAATATACAACCTCACACTAAAAGGCAAGTAAGCATACCTAAGACCCTAAAAGTCACACTGTCCTTAGACAGTTAGGGAAGTAGAATGGATAACATATGCCCAAAATACGAATGACTAATTTCCTTGCAAGATCAGCTGTCTCCTGCAAGCAACATTTGACAATTCACCCTTTCCTCGTGATGATGTCTTAACTAAGAAGATACAAAAATGCAAGGAAATGAAAGTGAATATGAGATCACTTTTATGTGCTATTTTAAAAACATAAATGCACATTGCACTGTGTTTAGGGAACTATGGCTTCAGAATTGTAGGAAAGACCCATGTAGTTTAAATGAGTTTCAAACTTGTAAAAGTGTCAATTAATTTAAGCCAGAGCAAAATGCATTAAGCAAATTCTTAACCAGAAGTCTGTGAAATCATGATGGAATGTCAGCCTAGGGGCCCAAATGAGAGAAAAGAATTTATGCTATAGCCAAAAGGATTGTTGCAAGGTGGATACCATTGACTTTATAGCAATTTCATATGCCCGATTGCCTTTTATTCTCATAGCAAACCCTCTTTATTTTGCAATGAGAAAACTTAAAGACTCTTGAATAAATTATCTAGGGCCACCTGGCTAGTGAGAGAGCATGAACTAGAATGTATGTTCTGTGATGTTCTAAGCCACATGGCTCACGTCGCCTTCATAAACATACATAATTGCTTATTCTATACATCTTCAGTTCCCCTCCAAATATCTCCATAAACTACTGCTTAAAGCTCCAAGATGGCCTTTGTGAAAGGGAAATAGGAACTCAGGAACCCAATTAACTTTGCCAAAAGAAAAAAGAATTTAAGTTGAAAGCTGAAATTACCTTTCATTTTGTTCCTAAGCAGATAGCTACAGATAAAAGGTTAAATATCTCCACAGGTAGCTATTTCATGTTCACTTTATCTTATGCAAAGTGTAGATTTAGTGAGCAAGAGAGGAATATATGATTGATTATCCCTCTACCTGCTCCATTTCTCTTGCAAGATGTGCATTGCCATACCCTCCTCCAGTCAGCTTTTCCCCTTTAAATATGGAAGCCCTCAATATCATCTATGGAGAAAGTCACAGACCAGAGATGGTTTCTGTGACTGTGTTCATTTTTTCCAGGAATGTCCTTAACCTTGGCAAAATAAACATCTAAATTAATTGAGACCTGTCTCAGATACTTTTTGGTTTGCACTTCCAAAGCTCAAACCTGTCATTTGCTGTTTGATCTTCCTGCTATCAGAGAATACATGTCTTTTTCTCTTTTGCTTCCCAAATCACTTGGGAGCACCACTCATTGGCAAATTCTAATGTGGTAATGAGAACTGTAAAAATGATTGATAGGGACACTCCACTTAAACACCTGCACTGAGAGACTTCACCAAACTCGTTTTGTTTTCTATTATCTACTCTTCAAGAAGCAATCACCAAACCTTAACAAGGCTTCTAGCAGCTCAAGGCCATATCTCTGAGACCACCCAACCCCCTTTTGGGTTCCTGCCTAGGATAGCTCAGGACTGTCATTGAATTTACTGTTTGTTCTAGCCAATACCTGACAATAAGTCCCCGGACTCCTTTAATAGAACATTTACTAAAAAAGGGCTTACAACATTGAATTATTTCTCTATCCTTTTGAGATGTATATATGTTTCCTATCACCTAGGAGTGTCTTCTTCAATGACCTGGGAGTATTTTTTTTCAAGGACCTGAAAGCCATTCCTTTGAAAAGTAGTCATTAGGAAGGATAAGACTTCTGTCTCCTGGTCTCTGTTGGGGGATAGAACTTTTCTCATTTATCACTCCAGATCCACTCTTCACCCTTTTGTTTTCTCCAAAAGGATGATCTTTTTGGACAGAATCAAATGACTCCCCTGACCTCTGGTTCCTGATTAGGTTTGGCAGACTGGTAGGCTAGCAGGAGATTTGTGAGACAGAGGAGAGTGAATCCTCCATATTAATTACCTAAAAATGAAATAAATATTTATGGTCTAGGAATGTTGGGTGGCCTCTTAATGAGCTACTTGGCTTATACAATCCAAAAATGTTCAAGTCTGCTGAGGAGAAACCTAATTCTCATTATTGTGGAGATTCATAACATCTTAGTTCAAAAACTGTACCAGTTCAAAAATCCACTACTTCTTCAATGATCGGCCCCTAGAGAAGCAACCCAGCATCTTAGCTATTAGGACTGGGGTAGGCAGACTAATGCCCTCCTCACAAAGGTGTCCACATCTGAATTCCCAGAACAATATTACATTACAGGGCAAAGGAAAACTAAGATTACACATGGAATTATGGTTACAATGGGCTCGTTCAGATGACATTAAAAGAGGGAAGTTACTCTGGATTATATGAGTGAGTCCAATTCAGTCACAAGGATCTTTAAAAGCAGCAGAGGGAGGCAGAAGAGATTCAGAGAAAATAATGTAATGAGGGGAAGAATGGCCAGAACGATGCAAGGTTGCTGACTTTGATGATGCAAGAAAGAAGACCACAGAACAAAGGATGTGGGTGGCCTCTAGAAGCTGGAAAGGGCAGAGAAATAGATTTTCTCCTAGAGTATCCAGAAAGGAATGCAGCCACGTTGACAACTTGATTTTAGCCCAGGGTGACACATTTGGACATCTAACCTGTAGAAATATAAGATAACTCATTTGTGTTATCATATATATATATATATATATATATATATATATATATATGCAGCACTTAAGTTAGTGCTGCTTTGTTATAGCAGCAGAATTGTATTAATTTGCTTGGGTGCCACAACAAAATACCTCAGGCTGAGTGGCTTAAAAATCAGAAATTTATATCTTACAATTCTGGAGTCTCAAAGACCGACAGCAAGGTGTCAGCAGCTCTGGCTTCCCCTGAGACCCCTCTCCTTGGCCTGCAGATTCCTGCATTCTTTCTGTTTCTTCATGTGGTTGTCACTCCGTGCATGAGTGCCCCTGGTGTGTGTTTTTAATGTGTTCAAATTTCCTCATCTTATAAGGACACTAGTCAGATTGGAGTGTGACTCACCCTAATGGCCTCATTTTAGCTTAATTACCTCTATAAAGGTCTCATCTCGAAATACAGTCAGTCACATCCTGAGATGTTCAGGGCTAGGATTTGGGGGCCACATTTCAGCTCACAACAAGGGTTATATTATAAAACCTTCCTTGAAGCCATGTCTAGAGGGCATCTCAGTGAGAAAACAAAGCTATGTACTGGGGCTCATTAATTGAGGCTCAGAACTATGACCATCCTGAGCACTATGGAAAGTCTTGACCCAACTGCATCTCATAGTAAATCCTACGGAACTGTAGACCCAACTGGCTGTTATTTCTACAGATACAAAATGCGAACTAAGAAGATATATATTTAATTATTGGCAGAATCCATATTCGTTTCCTGATATATGGAGTGAAAACTCTTATGGTAGAAGGACTAAATGGAAGCCACTGAAACGACCCCTCCCCACCAGGATGGTAATCCGAAAACAATACTGCATCTCTGGGAGAACTGGTGACATAAGGGTCACCATCAAATGTTAATGTTGCAAGATTGCGATTCTGGGGTAATGATATGTGGCTGAAACTCTCAAAATGGGCAACAATGTGAAAACATCCACTTTCTGTGCAAATGTCCACTAGACAGCATCCACTATGTAGAGTCGATAATCTGGCTGACAAGATGACCTATCTGGTCAAAGTCAGTCAGCTTTTGCCCTAGCCATAGCATATGGGAAATGGCCATGCAGAGGAGACTGAAGTGGTTCATGGGCTGAACAACATAGGCTTTTCTCAACAAGACAATCTGGATACTGGTGCTCCTGAGTTTCCAAAATGCAAATAGCAGAGGCTGAAAACTCAGCAAGCTGGTCTGGATACTGGTACTCCTGAGTTTCTAATATGCAAATAGCAGAGACAAATACTGAAAACTCCTGAGATGGCCCAGCCAGTAATCTGGCAGCACAGTGATTACACCTGATCTCTTCCAGGAAGGAATGTTTAATCCTCTATGGAAAAAGTACTTGCTAAAGATGTGGACTTTCCTTTCCTGCTTCAGGGATTACCCTAGCACCACAATGAGCAGACACACTGAATATATCTTCAACAATGATGCATACCACACAGTACTGCTTCTGACCAGCAGCACATTTTACAGATGGTTCTAAGTTTAAAAGCTTTAGGAATTAGTTCTGATGGGTCACGTTCGGTGAAAGAGCCATTGTTAGGCCAGTCACTTCGTTCTACAGTTGGGGTTTTATAAGAATGTCAACTCCCTCACACACAAAAATGGATAGTTGGATTGGGAGAAAGATCCCCAATGCAGGGGAATACCTCAACATTAATTTTCTGCTCTCCTAATTGTTTCATATTTATCATAGCACTGTTTTTTTCATCCATTTGTCTTAACTTTCAAACAATGAAAAATAAATATATATCTTTTCTATATATTTTTAAATAAAAACGTTGCTGATAATACCTCATACCTCACATTTATATATTTCTTAGCAAATAAATGGTTATTATTAACTTATTAACTTCTTCCTTTTTTTTTTGTATTTTGCTCACACAGGTAGACCATTACTACCTATAAATTTTTTGGAATGAAAAGAAATGGAAAGAAACCTTGCATAAATTATCTCATTTCACTCTTTACAATGAAATGAGATATTTTGGGCAAAACAATATTATCCCAGTTTAAAACTGAGGACACCCAGGCTTAGAGAAGGTCACACAACACTAAGAACTGAATTTGAATAGAACCCAGGTTGTTTCTCAGCTTCTTTCCAACACTCTATTATCTGTGGATATGACAGTGATGACTGACATGGGCCATGGTCTTTCGACTAAACACTTGAGATCCTTCCAGTTTCAAATCCCTCCTTGCAAATGCCTTTTGGGGAAGCAGGGTCCATTTCCCCATCACAAGGCTGACAGCACCGAGGGCTCTCTGTCTGTTCCTTGATAACTGCAGTGTAGGCTGTGACCTGGGTCAAGCCAACTATTTAATCCTGCCTGGATTTTGAGTCTTGAAAAAATAATACGAAGATGTTAAAATAGGTAATAAAGAACTCATAGCAATGTCCAGAATGAGAGTCCAGTGGAAGACTGATTATCTCACATCCTGTGCTGGTCGTGCTATTAGCAACCTCCTTAACTTGAGGAGGCTCCGGGCTTGTGTGCTTAGCATTCTTTGCTTCCTGCATGCCCTTTTCTCTAGCTGGGCTCTTCAGCCTCCCCAATGATTTTCTAAGGGATCAGATATTCTTCCAGCACATTTCTTTGCTGCTTACATTAGCCAGAGTTCTTACAACTGTAATACTAATGATACTTGAGGTAACCAAAGAGAAGCCGACATAGAGAAACCGGAGGATCAAAAGAATACAAATCACTCTTCTTTAATTTCCATTGTCCAGGACTGTTTCTGTCTTTGTTCTTTTCTTTTTCAGTTCAGTTGTTATAGTTCACAATGTAGCAGTTTACACTACTCCAACTATAACGCTATAAATGGCATGCAGTCTCTACCACATCATGGGCACTATGAATAAACAGATTCTTACATGAAAATGTGTCATGTTCTATTTCTCTTTATTAGATATGTAATGTGGATATGTGATATGCTTTATGATCTTTAGCATTGATCTATTTTAAAGTATTCACTCAATCCTAAGACACTTAGCTGTAAACATCCTCATTTATCAAATCTATGATAAAAAGAGAAGTGAGAACTTCCTTAATTAGGCTCAGGTGCCTGAACAGATCTGATGGAATCCTGCAGCTCTCTGCAGGACAAGGATGGCATCCAAAAAGCACCCAACTAAGGAGAACAATGAGTATGCTAATGAGGATGAAAGGAAATGGCAGGTTTTTAATCATCAGCCAAAGCGCAGGATACCCCACAAAGGACAAAAAGAAAACACTATCTTTTGAATAATTGTTCAAAGAAGATGATGATTCAGAAAAATAAAAAAAAAAAATGGAACTAACATAAATGGCTCAAGATTGCATTTTTCTTTACACTATAAATGGCAATTCCAGTGCTTAATCTTGAGCCTTTTATTATTTAGATATGAATACAAATTATCTTAAGAAAATTCCTTTGCAAGGCAGAAGCTTTCTCAAAATGTAAATTAGTTCTTTCCTGTCTGTCATAATGCTTACAGCGAATTTACACATTACTTCACATGAAACTATCTTAACCAAAGAGTCTTCTCTGGCTGTTTTTACATCATATGGAAGAGATTTTTGTTTATTTGTTCATTTTATTTTGTTTTACAGTAGTGGAGACTAGTGTATCAAATGTTCCAGGCTAACTTTAAAATCTATAACAAAAACACTGCATTTCTTAAATTTGTAGAATAACTACTAGCTAAGGCAGATTAAGGAGAATTGTTAGAAAACTGGTTACTGACATGATTATATTTACATCTTGAAATAAACTCCTTGCATCCAAATCCCTTGCTATATTCATACAACATGAAAAATCAGCAAGGTAGGGCCTCTAAAATCAGCTAGTAGAAAACTATTTCAATAAAGAAACAGTGTTATTTACATAAGAAATGCATTGTAGAATCTCAATGTTTTCCAGGAACCAAACATTTTTATATTTTATAATTCATTCATTTTTATACCAAAATTTTTTATGAATAACAATGAAGAATCCTGCCTCTGGAATTCACTAATTGTGTGACATCTGAAAACTAAAATCAGGATTAGAAAAGAACCTCTCAGAATTAAGTTCGTTAAAAATATATATATAATCATGCCTGACCCTTTAGTATTCCATCTATAAATGTATTGTAAAATTGTAAACAGTAAACTAAGATATTAAAATTTGAAATTATAAAGCCAACATTAACTCCTCTTCAGTAATATTAAAAGAAATAAACAAAATGAGTTTTAAGGAACTCTCAGAAATGTTTTGAAATATCTTTAAAATGAAATAAACTTTATGAAATTCATAGATTCTGTGAAAAAGAATACCCTTTTGTTATAAATCACAGGCACTCAAGTCATTGTTTTTGTTATTTACTAAAACAAAATTGTGGAAATGTTATTGTTGTATCTATCACTGGATTGAATAAAATAATTTCCTTCTAAAAATACATTTAAGCTTCTCAAAACACTTGAATCAAATGGTGATAAGTCCAAGATGGCCAAACAGGAACAGCTCCAGTCTACAGCTCCCAGCATGAGCGACACAGAAGACAGGAGATCTCTGTATTTCTAACTGAGGTACCGGGTTCATCTCACTGGAGCTTGTCAGACAGTGGGTGCAGGACAGTGGGTGCAGCACACCCAGCGTGAGCCGAATCAGGGTGAGGCATCGCCTCACCTGGGAAGCGCAAGGGGTCAGGAATTCCCTTTCCTAGCCAAGCAAAGCTGTGACAGACGGCACCTGGAAAATCAGGTCACTCCCACACTAATACTGTGTTTTTCCAATGGTCTTAGCAAACAGCACACCAGGAGATTATATCCCGCGCCTGGCTCAGAGGGTCCCACACCCATGGAGCCTTGCTCGTTGCTAGCACAATAGTCTGAGATCAAACTGCAAGGTGGCAGTGAGGCTGGGGGAGGGGCGCCTGCCATTGCTGAGGCTTGAGTAGGTAAACAAAGCAGCCGGGAAGCTCGAACTGTGTGCAGCCAACTGCAGCTCAAGGAGGCCTGCCTACCTCTGTAGACTCCACTTCTCGGGGCAGGGCATAGCTGAACAAAAGGCAGCAGAAACCTCTGCAGACTTAAATGTCCCTGTCTGACAGTTTTGAAGAGAGCAGTAGTTCTCCCAGCACGGAGTTTGAGATCTGAGAACGGACAGACTGCCTCCTCAAGTGGGTCCCTGACCCCTGAGTAGCCTATCTGGGAGGCACCCCCCAGTAGGAGCAGACTGACACTTCACATGGCTGGGTACCCCTCTGAGACGAAACCTCCAGAGGAACAATCAGACAGCAATATTTGCTGCTCAGCAATATTCGCTGTTCGGCAGCCTCCGCTGCTGATACCCAGGCAAACAGGGACTGGAGTGGACCTCCAGCAAACTCCAACAGAACTGCAGCTGAGGGTCCTGCCTGTTAAAAGGAAAATTAACAAACAGAAAGGACATCCACACCAAAACCCCATCTGTACGTCACCATCATCAAAGACCAAAGGTAGATAAAACCACAAAGATGAAGAAAAAACAGAACAGAAAAACTGGAAATTCTAAAAATCAGAGCACCTCTCCTCCTCCAAAGGAACGCAGCTCCTCACCAGCAATGGAACAAAGCTGGACAGAGAATGACTTTGACGAGTTGAGAGAAGAAGGCTTCAGACAATCAAACTTCTGTGAGCTAAAGGAGGAAGTTCGAACCCATCGCAAAGAACTTAAAAACCATGAAAAAAGATCAGATGAATGGCTAACTAGAATAACCAATGCAGAGGAGTCCTTAAAGGACCCGATGGAGCTGAAAACCACACCACGAGAACTACGTGACGAATGCACAAGCTTCAGTAGCCAATTCGATCAACTGGAAGAAAAGGTTTCAGTGATTGAAGATCAAATGAATGAAATGAAGTGAGAAGAGAAGTTTAGAGAAAAAAGAATAAAAAGAAATGAACAAAGCCTCCAAGAAATATGGGACAATGTGAAAAGATCAAATCTACGTCTGATTGGTGTACCTGAAAGTGACAGGGAGAATGCAACCAACTTGGAAAACACTCTTCATGATATTATCCAGGAGAACTTCCCCAACCTAGCAAGGCAGGCCAACATTCAAATTCAGGAAATACAGAGAACGACACAAAGATACTCCTTGAGAAGAGCAACTCCAAGACACATAATTGTCAGATTCACTAAAGTTCAAACGAAGGAAAAAATGTTAAGGGCAGCCAGAGAGAAAGGTCGGGTTACCCACAAAGGGAAGCCCATCAGACTAACAGTGGCTCTCTCTCGGCAGAAACTCTACAAGCCAGAAGAGAGTGGGGGCCAATATTCAACATTCTTAAAGGAAAGAATTTTCAACTCAGAATTTCATATCCAGCCAAACTAAACTTCATAAGTGAAGGAGAAATAAAATACTTTACAGACAAGCAAATGTTGAGAGATTTTGTCACCACCAGGCCTACCCTACAAGAGCTCCTGAAGGAAGCACTAAACATGGAAAGGAAAAACTGGTACCCGCCACTGCAAAAACATGCCAAACTGTAAAGACCATCGAGGCTAGGAAGAAACTGCATCAACTAACGAGCAAAATAACCAGCTAACATCATAATGACAGGATCAAATTCACACATAACAATATTAACCTTAAATGTAAATGGGCTAAATGCTCCAATTAAAAGACACAGACTGGCAAATTGGATAAAGAGTCAAGACCTATCAGTGTGCTGTATTCAGGAAACCCATCTCACGTGCAGAGACACACATAGGCTCAAAATAAAAGGACGGAGGAAGATCTACCAAGCAAATGGAAAACAAAAAAAGGCAGGGGTTGCAATCCTAGTCTTGGATAAAACAGACTTTAAACCAACAAAGATCAAAACAGACAAAGAAGGCTATTACATAATGGTAAAGGGATCAATTCAACAAGAAGAGCTAACTATCCTAAATATATATGCACCCAATACAGGAGTACCCAGATTCATAAAGCAACTCCTTAGAGACCTACAAAGAGACTTAGACTCCCACACAATAATAATGGGAGACTTTAACACCCCACTGTCAACATTAGACACATCAACGAGACAGAAAATTAACAAGGATATCCAGGAATTGAACTCAGGTCTGCACCAAGTGGACCTAATAGACATCTACAGAACTCTCCACCCCAAATCAACAGAATATACATGCTTCTCAGCACCACACCCCACTTATTCCAAAATTGACCACTTATTTAGAAGTAAAGCACTCCTCAGCAAATGTAAAAGAACAGAAATTATAACACACTGTCTCTCAGACCACAGTGCAATCAAACTAGAACTCAGGATTAAGAAACTCACTCAAAACCACTCAACTACATGGAAACTGAACAACCTGCTCCTGAATGACTACTGGGTACATAATGAAATGAAAGCAGAAATAAAGATGATCTTTGAAACCAACGAGAACAAAGACACAACATACCAGAATCTCTGGGACACATTTAAAGCAGTGTGTAGAGGGAAATTTATAGCACTAATGCCCACAAGAGAAAGCAGGAAAGATCTAAAGTGGACACCCTAACATCACAATTAAAAGAACCAGAGAAGCAAGAGCAAACACATTCAAAAGCTAGCAGAAGGCAAGAAATAACTAAAATCAGAGCAGAACTGAAGGACATAGAGACACAAAAAAACCCTTCAAAAAATCAATGAATCCAGGAGCTGGTTTTTTGAAAAGATCAACAAATTAATAGACCACTAGCAAGACTAATAAAGAAGAAAAGAGAAGAATGAAATAGATGCAATGAAAAATGATAAAAGGGATATCACCACCAATCCCACAGAAATACAAACTACCATCAGAGAATACTATAAACACCTCTACGCAAATAAACTAGAAATTCTAGAGGAAATGGATAAATTCCTTGACACATACACCCTCCGAAGACTATGTATATTGGTATTTTAATAATATGATTTTTTAAAAAATCCTTGTACTCAGATTTATCAATCTTCTATGGTTTTATTTCCTGCCCTTATTTTTTTTTTGGAAAGGATCTTTCCTAACTCAGTATCATATAAACAATGTTTTAGTAAGAAAAATTGACAGAAAAAAACAGAATGAGAGAAAATACTCATAATATACCTAATGTGAAAAGGCCTAGTATTCAGACTATATAAAGTATTTCTAAAAATAATTACCTAGCAATAGGAGATAAGGTAATTCAGTAATTTTGCTTCTAGGTAAGTATCTCAGAGAAATTTTTGCACATGTGTACCAAGAAACATGTACCATAATCTTCAAAGAAATGTTCGTTACAACCCTATTGGAAAAAACCCAAGTACCACTTAAGAATGAAATTAAAATATATTGTAGTGCACTGATTCATATAATTATTTATCTCATTAGAAATTACATATATTATATACATTATATATATAGTTTAGACTTGAGAATATGTGTGTGTCTATCTATGTATGTTTGTATGTATGTATGTATGTATGTATGTATGTATCTATCTATCTATCTATCTATCTATCTATCTATCTATCTATCTATCTATCTGTTTTTGTTTTGTTCGAGTTGCGGTCTTACTCTATCCCCCAGACCGGAGTGCAGTGGCACGACCATGGCTCACTGCAGCCTCGACCTCCCTGGACTCAGGTGATCCTTCTGCCGTGGCCTCTCAAGTAGCTAGAACTATGGGTATGCACCACCGTGCCGGGGTAATTTTCGTTTTGTTTGTTTGTAGAGACAGGGTTTTGCCATGTTGCCTAAACTGGTCTTGAACTCCTGGGCTTAAGTGATCCAACAGCCTTGACCTCCCAAAGTGTTGGGATTACACGCAACTGTCAGTGATGATTTTAGTAAAAATAGTGTTTCATGAAAAAGTCATGAGTTTAGTTCACAGTTTAAACTATTGCATGGTGGCTACTGTGACGGTTTGTTGCCACTGCATTGATTCATGTTAAGTCAGAAGCTGTGTTACCTGCTTTGTTACTTTGCGACATTCATGCAAATGAAACAATAAAAAAAGTCAAATAGCATTATAGTATTATAATAAAAATAGTTCTGACCTTGTGGACCCCCTGAAAAAGATTTGAGAACACAAGAGATCAGCCGACCACACTTTGAGGATTACTGTTTTAGTATATTGTTTTAATGGGATATTACTCAGCAATGAAAATGTGCAAAATAAAGATGTAGAAAACAGTGTAACTCAATCTCCTGGCTATAATTTTGAAAACAATGAAGCAATGCTTACAAAACACATAAAGTTGAAAATAGAACTGTTTAGGGATGCATAGATGTGATAAAGCCAAAGAAACACTGAAGTACATGCTCATCACAAAAGGTGTACCAGTAGTTACCTCCTGCGAAGGGATGGCGTTGTAATTGGGGAGGAGCAGATGATGGGCTTCTGGGAGCCCATCTATTTCCGCTGATCTATTTCTGGATCTGAGTGGTTCCATAGTTGTTTATTTTATAATAATTTCTTAAACTGTACGTATCATTTCATTTACCTTTCTGTATTGATATCACATGTCAAAATTAGGTAATAAAATTGATGAATTAACATTTATTCTAGTGTGTTTGTATTTCTTTTCTAATCTTGGTTAGTGTAGAGGAAGGGTCTAGTTTTTCTTCCACAAATGATAGTCAGATTCTCCCTCATTGCTTATGAAATGGTTTATTTTTTCCCTAGAGATTTGAAAAGCCACATGAGAAGAGAATTTTTACATTTTTTATAACTCTTCTCTTTTCTACATTCATGTGCAACCCTCACTGTGTGTGGAATAAAATTTCTTCTACTTATGATGCTCACTTTATTTGTTTTTTGTTTTTTTGGTTTTTTTTGGCCTGGCAAGTTATTGCTTAATTTGTTTCACCTATTATTAATTCTATGGGTCACCATTCTCCTTGTCTTTTCCAAAGATAGCATAACGAGGTGCACTTAACCATCTGCACTGTAATTTGCATGTCTGAGAAAGAAGCTTACTTTTAAGCCCTTCTCTAGTGACAGAATCCTAAGATCATGAGAAGGCATATCAGCTCAATAAAAGGTAATATAGACTGTTGGTATTTGAGGCTTGACTACTTGAAAAAATGACCGGAAGGTTCAGAATATGTACTAATTTGCAATTTAGCTGAGAAAGAAATTTGGACGACAGATGCTGTGAGGTTGGTGTACAGGAGCATTACTTAGCTAGAGAGAACCTAATGGATCACACACCATCATCATTGCACCAACATCAATGAGACTCTATTATTCAGCTATATACAGAGAAACTTCTAAATATTTTCTCCATTTTATTGAACAGGACCTCTGAAAAGAACGTCATCTTCAGGTGCTGATAAGGAAAATGGACTCAGGACACATACAATTAAAAACTTAGATAACAGCCCAAAAATTATGTTAACAAATGTTAAATTATAAATGTTAATTAAAGATAAAAGATTGTACACACTTTGGGAGGCCAAGGTGGGTAGATCACTTGAGGTCAGGAGTTCCAGACCAGCCTGGCCAACATGGTGAAACCCCATCTCTACTTAAAATACAAAAATTACCTAGTAATCCCACTTACTTGGGAGGCTGAGGCAGGAGAATCGTGGAGGTTGCAGTGAGCTGAGATTGAGCCATTGCACTCTAGCCTGGGCGACAAGAGTGAAACTCCATCTTAAAAAAAAAAAAAAAAAAAATAGTATAGCCTGTTTTTGATATAGATTTTTCAATCTTATTAATTTTTGGTAAAATCCATGTGTTCGTTACTGCTAGAAGGGAAATTTTATTTCAGAGAAGAAAAACAATCCATTCCCCTAATTATGAGAGCTCCTAGGTGACCTTGGTAGGTTTAAATCCAAGTCTAACTCTATGACTTTTACTCTCATTTAGAAATTGAGGGTAGACACTGGACCTTGTAATTTTCCTAACACTGTTTCACTTTTCAACAGTAATAGATTCAAAATGCATTAGGTTGAACTAAACATTATCAGAGCTTAAGTTAAAAGAAGTTTTCTAAACAATTACCATATATTTATTGCTTTCCACATATTAATGACATCCATTAATTTGTTCATGCATGCAGTCATGACTGTATTCATTTGTGACAATCAAATTAGAAAACATATAAAGGCTCTTAGCAAACTAAAATAGTATACAAATATGTATGTTATTATTATACCTATTTCTACATAATTAATACCTATATGGTTAATGCCCGGTTAGTTGACACAGGAAATGCTATGAAGAGGTCATTGATAATTTGGTCAGAGCAAAACATGGCTAGTTATTGACTCTTACATCATATGTAGAATTGCTATAGCTGAGAAGGACAGAATAAAAGCAGGGAAGTAAGGATATGAAGACAGCGAGTTGGAGAACATTTGATTTAGAAATAAGACATTGAAAAGAATGCAATAATTAAATTTGAGATGGCTACTATGAGGATTCAGGAAAGGAATCATTAAAATATTAGGAGGAAAATAAGTTTTCAGAGATGCGGTGTTTGCTGTGAAAAAGTCACATATTGTAGTTCTGGAGTAAGCCAGGTAAATGTGGGTCTCTGATATTCACTAAAAACCTTTTCTTCAAAAAAAAGCCAATGTTTTCTGGATATATAAAAAAGTCACTAAATTATTTAATATTTCGTCACCATAGGATCTATAGTACATGTGAAAAAATATATTCGAAACAAAAAAAGTGAATTAGATATCTTGTTTAAAATTACACAATTTTGAAATAGATTCTGACTAAATAATCATTTGGTAATCTTTTGACACTAAAATTTTAGATGCTGAGAATAAGCTCAGCTGGAACTACTGAGTCTTCAAATTAGAAAATGTCATGTTAATAAATCAGAAAGTAAGAAAAAATGGTTATAATTATTATGAGGTAACATCTGTGTCAGGGTTGAAGCTAGTAAACTCTTATTCTAAAATAGAATATTCTCAGTATTTTATGTTTCTGTTGAGCTATCAGACACATATTTTTTGAAAACTTTTCTGAGTTGAACACAGAATCAAACTGTATCCAATTTTAACTCCTAACAAAAGACATGAATGTAGCTTGGAAGTATGAGAATATACTTTGGATTCTTAGATTTTAAAATAGAGAAATAAGATGTTTAAGGTAAGTATTTTAACGTTTAACCCAACCTCTGTTCTAGAGTTGAATTTTTTCCCTGCCATCCATTTTTTAATAATATTGATTCCTTCTGTTTGTTGTCTGATGAACGTAGTAATGTCAAGTCTTACAAGGATGGGTTGTAAATCCAACAAACTGAAAAACTGCTGACTTTGATCTGGGGAGCAATAAAGTTAATAGCTGTGTATTCTAAATTTGACATAATGGTGTGCATCACTATCAGAAATAAATATAAAGTTTCTTAAATCAGAGCGTGAGAAGTAACCAGATTTGGCCTGCACACCAATCTAAGCAGAGTCATAGATAGGGGAAGAACACAATTGTAGCATCCATAAATAAAAAATATATATAATACTGACATTATAACATACACATTTTACAATCTTTCCAGATGGGATAAGAACTGTTTAACAATGATTCTAAATACAGTGGCATGATTATCAGCATTGTTTAAGACATACAAACTTCAAATTTGGAATAATGAAAAAAGTGAAAACTTTTCATTATTCGACATAAAATAAATGGTCCTTCTCATGATTAGTTATCTTTACCCTCAACTCTTCTTTTTTTTTTTTTTTTTTTTTTTTACATGATCTTGCCATGTTTCAGGCCAGAGCGCAGTATTGCTATCTCTGCTCGCTGCAGTCTCAACCCCCAGGGCTCAAGTGATTCTCCCGCCTCAGCCTTCTAAACAGCTGGGACCACAGGCATGTTCCACCCAGTCCAGCTAATTTTTGTATTTTTTGTAGAGAGAGGGTCTCCGTATGTTTCCTAGCATGGCCTCAAATCCCTGGGCTCAAACGATCTACCCACCTTGGCCTCCCAAAGTGCTGGGATTAGAAGTGTGAGCCACTGCACCTGGCTCAACTACTCTTAAACGTAAGTAATCCAGCTGTCCTCTTGTTTCAATATCACATTTCAAGTACTCATTTAAGACTTAAAGGGTTGGAAACTTCTAAGCTGCTTCTTTTACATTTCACTGATGCCTTTCAAAAATTTGGGACAACTATGGGCAACTTACCTATATTTGCATGTGAATTCCTCTGATTTGGGAGGAACACTATTCATAAATAATTGTCATGCTGTGATTTTAAGAAACCACCACTCAAGTGTACACATTCTAGACATAAATGCATAAAGTTTTAAAACGTGGTCCTGTAATATTTCAGAGGATATATCTTCATTTAAAAATGTCTGACAGACAATATGGGACATAGATTAATAGTCAGTAGTTGGAATTGAGAATGAAAGAATTTGTCAGAAGTTTACCTAAGACCAATTAAAAATTATTTTACCTTTGTAGGCAGTCCTGCACTTGGTCTTTAAATTTTCTCCAAGTTTTGGTTCCTATTCTTCCTGACTATCCAGGAGACAAAGTTTTAACAATCAGAACTACTATGATCACTCACAGGTTCACCAAACTTTCCATTATCTTCTGCGGGGGCTGTCTTTCAAATCGCCAATTTTCATCAAACCTGTGATGTAAACTTTTGGTTTCTACTCCTGGGCTGCTGGGGCCAGTGAAAGACAGTGACATGCTACAGGGTCTGCACTACAAATTTATTATTTCCAATTTAATTGAGGCCCCTTAAGAGGCCAATCTCTTTACTTGTTATTTATCCCTTCAGTATCTAATCTAAGCTTTTTGGTAATCTCTTCAAGCTCCAATCAAACTTCACTTTTCCTTTACACTTAGCAAAATATCAAATTTCATGCCTTCCTGAGAAAAATGAGATTAAGAAACTTGACCTTCCTCCAGATACGGACTCAAAGATTACACACTTCCCTAGATATGCTTTCGTAAGCCTTGCCACTAATGCCAGAGGGTGACTTTATCCCTACAACTCCTGCTGTTCAGAGATAAATAACATATTCCCTTCTGTCCTGAATTCTACCGCTTTCTGTAGCCTCGTAAGTCTTTCCAATCAACTGTGCTCTTTCTTGATTTTTTTTTTCAATTTTCTACTTCTTCCAGCACCTTCTCCTTGGTTTATGAAAACGTCTTAATAAAAGTAAGCAAATAAATATTTTAAAATTAAAATTTCTTTAGTTGACATTCTCCTCATTCTATTTCACTCTTTTTTTGTTTTCATTCTTGCCACCACATGATTTCTCAATCAACTGCAATGTGCCTTCACCCTCATCATCAGAGAAAATGTTCTAAAGTCACCACTGAGCCTAAAATCACTCATTAAAAATTTCTCCTCCTTTAACTTCTGTTTCTGCTCCCATACCATTGAACTTTCTTTCTCAGCCAATTTCACTATCTATTTTTTGGTTTATGTTTTGCTTTACTTTTCACAAAATGCTGTCTGCCCATGCAAGTTCAGGGATTTCATGATTCTTAGAAGCACTTCTATAAAAGAGGCCCCAATTCATGTCTCTAGATCCAGAGTCCACACGCTACTTCGACAGTATAAGTCGAAATTCACATACACATTTTTTCTGGATATTTTCACCTTTCAATTTCCTGAAAGTATTTTAAATTTAACATTCACAAAATTTAGTTTAAGTAGTTCAAATATAAAATGGTGGAAAAAGTAATCTTTCTAAAATCAATGGAAAACAATTTCATAAAAAGATGACTCCACCTTTGACAAGAGAGCAATTGTAATTCCTAATTACAATCTCTAAAGATAGAATTGTCAATTTTAGTAAAATTTTTCCTTGGAGAGAAGGTACACACAAATATTAACTCAGAAAGTTACCCCAAAATAGACATCGTATCATGAGCTCCATCAGAATTCCCTCACTTGGAAAAAAGAATCCGGCTCAGTAGTTGTGCTGCTTGCCACACATTAGATCTTTATTTTGTATTACTAACTTGAAATGAGAGAAACAAAGAGGAATAATTTTTATGTAAAGCAGGCTGCTGGAATAGTATAGTGGAGACTATGGGACCAAAACTACAATATGAACAACACAGTCTCCTCGATCTTGCAAGGAATAAAAATAATAAACAATAATCTGAGCAACATAGCGAGTCCTGATTTCTACTGAATATAAAAAAAATTGCCAGGTGTGGTGATGTACACCTACAGTTCCACCTACCTGGGAGCCTGAGGCAGTAGGATTGCTTGAGCCCAGGAGTGGAAGGCTGCAGTGAGTCACGATCATGCCACTGCACTCCAGCCTAGGTGACAGAGAGAGACTTTCTCAATTAAAAAAATAAAATAAATAAAAAATAATGTGAGGGATCTGTTAGAGTGGTGGGAAAAACTACAGGGAAAGGATGCAAACCTGCTGAAAGGTGGGAAGGTTCTGCAGAGCCCTGGGGGAGAATAGCTGAAGGCGGCTGTTCTATAACCCTGAGGCAGAGGGCAAGGATTAGGAACAAGGCAGTATGGGGGGATTTATCTTAAACAGGCTTGTTTACTTATGTTGACCAGGAACTGACCTTTGAACATCCCGCGTGCGCATGAGACTCCCTGAAAGGGGAACAAGAAATGTTAATTACCTACAGGTTGTGTGGGCTCCAGGTTTTCAGCATTGTGCCTGCACTGAATAAAAGCAAGTTCTCCGGACTGCTGCTCTCTGGTCACTGGAGCCAGGCAGTCACCTAGTAGCTCTTACACTGCATACCTATGTCTGAGTACTCATTTCATCCATTGGCCAGGGTCTGTGGGACAGACCCGGCAAAATAAAAATAATTATAGTGCTGTGATTTGAATGTCTCCTCCAGAACTCACGTTGGAGTTTAATTGCCATTGCACCATGGTTAACAGGTGGAGCCTTTAAGAGGTGATATTAGATCACGAAGGCTCTATCCCCATGAATGAATTAATGCTGTTAGCATGGAAGTTTAGCGCCCCTTTTCTCTTTGTCTCTCACATGTTCTCTTGCCATGTGATACTTCTGCTTTGGAATGACCCTCGCCAGATGTCAGCACCATGGTCTTGGACTTCCCAGCTCCAGAACTGTGACCCAAATAAACTTCTATTGTTTATAAATTACCCAGTTTGTGATATTCTCTTACAGCCAAAAAAAAAAAAAAAAAAAAAGCACTAAGACACATGGAAAGACAGAGCTTTAGTTAAAGCCAAGGAGGTTTAGAAAAACTAGACTATTGCAAAGTGATACCTAAGGCTGATTGTTGTTAAATTTAGAGAACACAGAATGAAGCATATGAGATATAAAGGGCACTTCACTCTCCTGACCCCTTCTTAATGCCATCTTTTAAAAAATATTTAACAGGGATAGCATTGGGAGATATACCTAATGCTACATGACGAGTTAGTGGGTGCAGCGCACCAGCATGGCACATGTATACATATGTAACTAACCTGCACAATGTGCACATGTACCCTAAAACTTAAAGTATAATTAAAAAAAAAAAAATTAAAAAAAAAAAAAAGAAAATCCCCCATTCAATGATAAGTTATATCTGGAAGGGGTTCAACGTGGATGCATGTAAGTACTACAAGAAAAAGCACTGACAGAACCATGGAAACAAATGGCAGATGAATATGAAAAAAATTCATGAGAAAATGGGTGAATATTATGAATAAGCATTACTCCAACAAATCAAATAAATTAAAGAAAACCTGTTATCTGAAACAAAAGCTCAAATAAGAGACACAAAACCTCAAAGAAGAGAGTTATTTTAAACAACAAATAGTAATCTGCCATAAATCAGTGAGAAAATGATTTAAAAATCAAGCCTATTCTAGAAAAGAGGAGAAATATGAAGACATTCCACAGATAGCACAGTTAATCACAGGGAGAAGAATTTGGCCAAAATAAATGAGTGAAGAGCAGGGAGTTAAAACTACATACAACATAGAGATAATTAGTATCCCTAAGAAGTAAAACAATAGAACAAATCAAATGTCCAAAACATTCAGTCTTTTGAAACTAAAAATAGAAATCTATAATTTATAATGGTCATTTTGCAGAGGAAGTATTGAATAAACAATGAATGTCAATGAAGATCAATATAGTTAATTACTGGTCATGGTAATTAACTATAAAAGTAGCAATTCTATAGGATACCCAGTTGAAAAATCAAGTCACGTATTAAAGAAGGAAAAAGCAAATTTTCCACTTCCCCTTTAATGCTGAAATAACAGTAAAGCAATGTCTTCAGAGTCCTCAGTGAAATTACTGTGACTCAATGATTTTTTTAAATTTAATTTTATTATTATTATACTTTAAGTTTTAGGGTACATGTGCATGTACCCTAAAAGTATATAAAGAGTATATAAACAGATTTTTATACTCTTCCCAGTTGTTACTGGTTGTAAAGGAGATAGATATTTTCACAAACGCAGAAATTCAAGAACCCTGAGATATATGTATAATTAGAAAATACCTGCGCCCCCACAAAATGCCCTAAATGAAGGGGACATAAGGTAAAAGTTGTAAAATTTCTTATCAGTAAATAAAACAAATAAAAAAAACTATATCACTGACAACATAAATTCTACAAATCACTTATTTCTCTATTTGCCTTTACGGCCATGATAATTCTTTTTACTTTTTTTTAATTTTTTTTTTGAGATGGAGTCTCGCTCTGTCACCCAGGCTGAAGTGCAGTGGTGGGATCTTGGCTCGCTGCAAGCTCCGCCTCCTGGGTTCACGCCATTCTCCTGCTTCAGCCTCCCAACTAGCTGGGACTACAGGCACCCGCCACCACACCCGGCTCATTTTTTGTATTTTTAGTAGAGACGGGGTTTCACCGTGTTAGCCAGGATGGTCTCGATCTCCTGACCTCGTGATCTGCCCACCTCGGCCTCCCAAAGTGCTGGGATTACAGGCGTGAGCCACTGCGCCCGGCGTACAACCATAATACTTCTTTAAAAGCAGTCTTTATAGTCACACTCTAGTTTCTCTTATCATATACTTTTAAAAAACCCAGACTTATTAGATATAAATTACATACTAGAAAATTCCCGTTTTAAATATTTATCTGATTTTTAATAAATTTACTGTATTGCATAACTATCACCACAATCTAATTTTAGAACATTTCTGTTACCTCTCTGTAACTCTAACTGCTGGTTTACAGTTAATTCTCATTCCTACTCATTCCCAGCAACCAATAATCAATTTTCTGTCTCTATAAATTTGTCCTTTCTGGGTATTTTTTTTAACTTTTAAGTTCAGGGATACATGTGCAAGTTTGTTACACAGGTAAACTTGTGTCCTGGGGGTCTGTTGTACAGATCATTTCATCATCCATGTATCAAGCCTAATACCCCCTAGTTATTTTTCCTGATCCTCTCTCTCCTCTTATCCTCCACCCTCCAATGGTCCCCAGTGTGTGTTGTTTCCCTCTATGTGTCCATGTGCTCTCATTGTTTAGCTCCCACTTACAAGTGAGAATATGCGGTATTTGGTTTTCTGTTCCTGCATTAGTTTGCTAAGGATAATGTCCTCCAGCTCCATCCATGTGCTTGCAAACGACATGATCTTGTTCTTTTGTTAAGGCTGCATAGTATTCCATGATGTATATGTAACACATTTCCTTTATCCAGTCTATCATTAATGGGCATTTAGGTTGATTCCATGTCTTTGCTACTGGGAATAGTGTTGCAATGAACATGCGTGTCTGTATGTCTTTATAACTGAACAATTTATATTCCTTTCAGTATATACTCAGTAACGGAATCTTTGGGTTGAATGGTATTTCTGTCTTTAGGTCTTTCAGGAATTGCCACAGTGTCTTCTACAATGGTTTAACTAATTTATACTCCCACCAACAGTGTAAAAGCGTTAATTTTTCTCCAAAACCTTGCCAGCATCTGTTATTTTTTTACTTTTTAGTAATAGCCATTCTGACTGGTGCTAGATGGTATCTCATTATGGTTTTGATTTGTATTTCAAAAGATCAGTTTTTGATTTTGTATTTCAAAAGATCAGTTTTTGATATTGTATTTCCAAAGATCAGTTTCTGATTTTGTATTTCAAAAAATCAGTGATGTTGATCTTTTTTTTTGTATGACGTTGGCTACACATATGTCTTCTTTTGAGAAGTGTCTGTTCATGTCCTTTGTGCACTCCTTAATGGGGTTATTTGTTTTTTTCTTGCCTTTTTTTTTCCTGTTTAAATTCTTCATAGATGCTGGATATTAGACCTTTCTCAGATGCATAGTTTGCCAAATTTTTTCCCATTCTGTAGGTTGTCTGTTCACTCTGATGATAGTTTATTTTGCTGTGCAGAAGCTTCTTAGCTTAATTAGATCCCATTTGTCAATTTTTGCTTTTTTTGCAATTGGTTTTGGAATCTTCCTCATGAAATCTTTGACCATATCTATGTCCTAAAAGGTATTGCCTAGGTTTGTTTCTAGGTTTTTTATAGTTTTGAGTTTTACATTTAAGTCTTTAATCCATCTTGAGTTAATTTTTGTACATAATGTAAGAAAGGGGTCCAGTTTCAATTTTCTGCATATGGCTTGCCAGTTATCACAGCACCATTTATTTCCCCATTGCTAATTTTTGCCGGGTTTCTTGAAGACCAGATAGTTGTAGGTGTCTGGTCGTATTTCTGTGTTCTTTATTCTGTTCCATTGGTCTATGTGTCTGCTCTTATACCAGTACCATGCTGTTTTAGTTACTGTAGCCCTGTAGAATAGTTTAGGTAAGGTATTGTGATGTCTACATCTTTGTTCTTTTTGCTTAGAATTGCCTTGACTATTTGAGCTCTTTTTTGGTTCTATATAAATTTTAAAATGATTTTTTCTACTTCTGTGAAGAATGTCAATGGTAGTTTAAAGGGAATAACTTGAATCTATAAATTGCTTTGGGCAATATGGCCATTTTCACAATATTGATTTTTCCTATACATGAGCATGGAATGTTTTTCTATTTGTTTGTGTCATCTATCATTTATTTGAGCAGTGGTTTGTAGTTCTCCTTGTAGAAGTCCTTTATGTCCCTTCTTAGCTATGTTCCTAGGTATTTTGTTCTTTTTGTGGCAATTGTGAATGGGAGTTAATTCATCATTTGGATCTGAGCTTGACTGTTGTTGCTGAATAGGAATGCTAGTGAGTTTCTTACATTGATTTTGTATTCTGAGACTTTGCTGAAGTTGCTTATCAGCTTAAGAAGCTTTGGGGCTGAGTTGATGGGGTTTTCTAGATATAGGATTATGTCATCTGCAAACAAGGATAGTTTGACTTCCTCTCTCTTCCTGTTTGAATACCTTTATTTCTTTCTCTTGCTTGATTGCCCCGGCCAGAATTTCCGATACTGTGTTGAAAGGAGTGGTGAGAAATGGCATCTTTGTCTCATGCCTGTTTTCAAGGGGAATGCTTCCAGCTTTTGCCTATTCAGTATGATATTGGCTGTTGGTTTTTCACATATGGCTCTTTTCATTTTGAGGTATGTTCCTTCGATACCTAGTTTATTGAAAGTTTTTAACATGAAGGGATGTTGAATTTTATCAAAAGCCTTTTTTTGCATCCATTGAGATGATCAAGTGGTTTTTGTCATTACTTCTGTTATGTGATGGATCACTTTTAATAATTTCTGTATGTTGAACCAAACTTGCATCCCAGGGATGAAGCCTACTCGTTCATGGTGGATAAGATTTTTAGTGTGCTTTTGGATTGGGTTGCCAGTACTTAGTTGAGGATTTTTGCATTAATGTTCAGTAAGGATATTGGCCTGAAGTTGTCTGTTTTTCCTGGATCTCTGAAGTTGTCTTTTTTGTTGTATCTCTACCAGGTTTTGTTTAAGATGATGCTGGCCTCATAGAATGAGTTAGGAAGGAATCCCTCCTTTTCAACTTTTTGGAATAGTTTCAGTAGGAATGGTACCAGCTCTTCTTTGTACCTATGGTAGAATTCAGCGTGGAATCCATCTGGCTATGGGCCTTTTTTTGGCTGTTCAGGATTTCCATTTCTTCCTGGTTCTGCCTTGGGAGGGTATATGTATCCAGGAATTTATCCATTTCTTCTAGGTTTTCTAGTTTATGTGCATAGAAGTGTTTATAGTATTTTCTGACTGTCGGTTTGTATTTCTGTGGGGTAAGTGGTAATATCCCCTTTATCATTTCTGATTGTGTTTATTTGAATCTTCTCTCTTTTTATTAGGCTAGCTAGCAATGTATTTTGTTATCATTTTCTTTAAAAAAAATCAGCTCCTGAATTTGTTGATCCTTGGAATAGTTTTTCATGTCTCCATCTCCTTCAATTCAGCTCTGATTTTGGTTATTTGTTGTCTTCTGAAAGCTGTGGGTTTTGTTTGCTCTTGGTTCTCTAGTTCTTTTAGTTGTGAGGTTAGATTGTTAACTTGACATCTTTCTAGCTTTCTGATGTCGGCATTTAGTACTGTAAATTTTCCTCTTAACCCTGCCCTAGCTGTGTCCCAGAGATTCTGGTACATGCCAGCATCCAGGCATCAGAGAACCCAAGTTGACCAGGAGTGGAATGGTACCCAACACAGCAAAACTGCTCTATGAAATTGTGGCTAGATTGCTTCTTTCAGCAGGCCCCCAATCCCATTCCTCCTGACTGTGTGAGACCTCCCAACTTGGGTGTCCAGCCACCTCCTACAGGTATGTTCAGGCTGGCAACAGGTCCATACCCTGCTAAGATGGAGTTCCCAGAGGAAAGGGCAGGCTGCCATGTTTGCTGTTTCACAGGCTTCACTGGTGATGCTTCTAGGGACTGAAAAATCCAAGGCAACAAGGGTTCTGTCTTCTCATCAGTTTCAAATAACTTACTGATTTCTGCCTTAATTTCATCATTTACCCAAAAGTCATTGAGGAGTGGGTTGTTCAATTTCCACGTAGTTTTATGGTTTTGAGTGAATTTCTTATTCTTGAGTTCTAATTTGATTGTGCTGTGGTCTCAGAGACTGTTATGATTTCAGTTCTTTTGCAATTGCTTAGGACTGTTTTACTTCCAATTACATGATCAATTTTAGAGTATGTTCATGTAGCAATGAGAAGAATGTATATTTTGTTGTTTTGGGAGAAGAATTCTGTAAATACTTATTAGGTCCATATGCTCGAGAGCTGAATTCAGGTCCTGAATATCATTGGAAATTTTCTGTCTTGACGATCGGTCTAATATTGTCAGTGGGATGTTAAAGTCTTCCACTGTTACTATGTGGCAGCCTAAGTCTCTTTGAAGGTCTCTAAGGATTTGCCTTATAAGTCTGGGTGCTCCTGTGTTGAGCGCATATATATTTAGTATAGTTAGGTCTTCCTGTTGAATTGAACCCTTTACCATTATATAATGCCCTTCTTTGTCTTTCTTAATCTTTGTTGGCTTAATGTCTGTTTTGTCAGAAACTAGGAGTGCAATCCCTTTTTTTCTGTTTGCCATTTGCTTGGTAAATTTTCCTCCATCCCTTTATTTTGAGTCTGTATGTATCTCTGCATGTGAGATGAGTCTCCTGAAGACAGGATACCAATGGGTCTTGATTCTTTATCCAGCTTGCAACACTGTCTTTTAATTGGGGCTTTTAGCTCACTTACATTTAAGGTTAGTATTGATATGTGTGGATTTGATCCTGTCATCATGATGCTAGCTGGCTATTTGGAAGACTTGTACCTGTGGTTTCTTTGTAGTATCACTGGTCTGTGTACTTCAGTGTGTTTTCGTAGTGGTTGGTAATAATTTTTCCCTTCTATATTTAGTGTTTCCTTCAGGCGATTTTGTAAGGCAGCTCTGGTGGTGACAAATTCCCTCAGCATTTGCTTGTCTGAAAAAGATCTTATTTTTCCTTTTCTTATGGGCTTCCTTTCATAGGTGACCTGGGCTTTCTCTCTGGCTGCCCTTAACATTTTTTCTTCCGTTTTGATCCTGAAGAATTTGATGATTATGTGTCTTGAGGATGATCTTCTCATGGAGTATTTTACTGGGGTTCTCCACATTTCCTGAATTTGAATGTTGACCTGTACAGCTAGGTTATGGAAGTTCTTGATGATATCTTGAAATATGTTTTCCAAATTGATTCCATTCTCCTCACTTCTTTCACGTACCCCAGTCTGTTGTAGAGTTGGTCTCTTTACATAATTTCATATTTCTTGGAGGTTTTGTTCATTTCTTTTCGTTCTTTTTTCTATTTCTTTTTTCTCTATTCTTTCAATTCTTTCATTCTTTTTTCTCTATTCTTGTCTCTATTCTTGTCTGCCTGTCTTATTTCAGAAAGTCTTCAAGCTCTGAGATTCTTTCCTCTGCTTGGTCTATTCTGCTGTTGATACTTGTGATTGCATTGTGAAGTTCTTATAGTGCGTTTTTAAGCTCCATCAGGTCAGTTATGTTCTTCTCTATATTGGGTATTTTGGCTGTCAGCTTCTGCATTGCTTCATCATAATTTTTAGCTTCCTTGCATTGGGTTTAAATCATTGTGCTCTTTTAGCTCATCAAAGTTCATTTTTATCCACATTCTGAAGTCTATTTCTGTCATTACAGCCATCTTAGCCTCAGTCCAGTTCCAAACCCTTGCTGGGGAGGTGCCGCATCATTTGGAGGAAAGAAGGCACTCTACCTTTTTGAGTTTTTGGCATTTTTGTGTTCATTCTTTCTCATCTTTGTGAACTTATCTACCTTCAGTCTTTGAGGTTGCTTTCCTTTGGACAGCATTTTTTTTTTTTTCTTTTAACAGTCAGGCAACTTTACCATAGGGCTACTGTGGTTTGCTAGTGTTGCACTCCAGACACTATTTGCCTTGGATTTTCCAGTACCTAGAGGTATCACCAACGAAGCCTGTGAAACAGCAAAGATGGCAGCCTGCCTCCTTCTTTGGGAACTCCTTCCCAGCAAGGTATGGACCTGTTGCCAGCCCAAACACACCTGTAGGAGGTGGCTGGAGAGCCCAGTGGGGAGGTCTCACCCAGTTAGAAGAAATGGGATAGGGGTTCAGCAGAAAGAAGCAATCTAGCCACAATTTTGTAGAGCAACTCTGTTGTACTGGGTACTGCTCTGCCCTTGGTCAGATTGGGCTCTCCAAAGCCAAGAAGCTGGTATGGCTAAATTGCCAAAACAGCAAAGATGGTGGCCCACTCCTCCCTCTAGAAGCTCTG